>NC_000013.11:83299006-83451847 GCF_000001405.40 Homo sapiens | reverse complement strand
GATAATGGATATGTTAATTAGCCTGACTTGATCATTTCCTTAATGTATACATGTATCAAAACACCACATGGTACCCCGTAGATATATAAAATTATGTATTATTTATCAAATAAAATAAAATTAAAAAAACTAAATTATATCTATCTATCTATAAAATATGAAAGCTTCCCATCGCTTGCTTACCTAGGAAGTGTTAATCATCTGGAGTTTGGAGTTTGTTTTTCACAAATTTTCTTGTATCCTCTATTCTTCACTAACTTGAAATAAAAGTGTTTTACCACATGTTCTCACTCATAGGTGGGAATTGAAAAATGAAAACACTTGGACACAGGGTGGGGAACATCACACACTGGGGCCTGTTGTGGGGGAAGGGAGGAGGAATAGCATTAGGCGATATACCTAATGTAAATGGTGAGTTAACGGGTGCAGCACACCAACATGGCACATGTATACATATGTAACAAACCTGCACGTTGTGCACATGTACCTAGAACTTAAAGTATAATAAAATAAATAAATAAATATAAAAATATATTGAAATGGAAAATCAATAAAGCTTTTTAATTTCCAAAAAAAAGAAAGAAAAGTGTTTTTTTGGTTAATTCAATGATTTCTTGTTATCTCGCAGAAAATGAAAATCTTTTATATTCATCCATATATTAATCAAACATGATCTCCCCAAATCCATTTTTTACATTCTGAAATTTACATTCCCTTAAGTTACTAAAAGGAGAAAAATTAGGTAGTGGTGAAAAAAAAAAAGAAAACCTTACCAAAGTTTGTATTGATTTTCTCCGTCAAAATTATTCATATGATAGTATTGCAATAAATCATGTTTTATTGAATCTATACGTTGGAAATAATACACAAATAATATGTAAAAATATTCTTTGACCCATGGTAAGTTACAAATAATGTTTAAGATAGAGACAAGTTTTGGCAACATAGTGAGATCCTGTCTTTACCAAAAATTAAAAAAAAAAAAAAAGTTACCAGGGCACGGTGGTATGCATCTGTAGTTTCAGCTACTTCAGAGGATGATGTAAGAGGATTGCTTGAGCCCAGGAATTCAAGGCTGCAGTGAGGTACGATTGTCCCACTGCACTACAACCTGGGCAACAGAGAGAGAGCCTGTCTCAAGCAAAACAAAACAAAACAAAACACAATCATACCCAGACACACAAACAAACAAACACACACACATGAATGAAAGAGCTTAAGTTGTGTGTGTGTTTTCCTACAGCTTGTTTGGAGGTGGCAGAGTTATTAAAAAAGAAAAATAAGTACCTTCAGAAATATCAGAGTAGTTATGATTTCCTGGGCTGACTCTGCATTTGAAGTTATGGGTTTCCTTTTGGAAGAAAATGCAGGTATCAGCTAAGAATAATAACAGTTTCTAAAGTAAAAAACAAAAACAAAAACAAAAACAAAAACAAAACATAAAAAAAACCCTGATCTCTTAAAGTGTATAATTCAGTCATAAATGCTTTCTGGTTATAATAATAGTGAAGGAAGTTTCAAAATGTGAACAGTATGCTGTCCTGGGCCCAAGGGGATCTGCCTCACGGTAGAGTGAAAATGGGATGTGGGAATTGAGCTTTTTGCCAGCCTTTCAGGCACTCTCTCAGGAGCCTCTTCTTTAGGAGCAATACAATTAATTTCCACCTGCAGAGAAAGGCCTTTAACCTGCTGTTTTAACCCAGGCAGCAGGAGATCTAGGATCTCACCCTTGTTCTTGCTAGTATAAAATGTGTAAAGCTGGAAGATCTACTTAATCATGTGTGTCTTTGTTGTCTTTTACCATAAAAAGCCAAAGTGAAACTTGTCTCACTAGTCTTGCAATGCTCTTTCAAGGAGAAAAAGAAGCATATTTGATTGCTAGAGGTATTTAAACACTTAAAAATGCATGATATTGGTGAGTAATATAAGTATTTCAGATGCCTTTTATCACTCCCTGCCTCATACGTTTTCTTCAGACATTTATCAGATGAATCATATGGGCCTGAAGGCATGACCTCTAAGGAAGCTGAGAACATTCAAAAAACAGTGAGGTAAATCATGCTACCAGTAGAAATCATCCTCTGGGCAACGATGTAGGTGTATATTTTGTTCTGAAGTCATGACTTCTCTCATGGCTTACCACACTTAAAAATCAGTGGTGTTCCTCAATATCATAAGGACAGAGCAGGGAAATTGGAGCTGATCATCTAAGATAATTCAGGAAGCTATTCTTACCTAATACTTTCACATTATTTCCAAATCAATAGCTGTATAAAATAGCCATCTTATTAAAACTGGAACTGACAGTTACCAGTCATACAACTCCATCTGAAAGTCATGTCTTTCTATACTGTAAAACTGTACTTCCTGGATTTTCATTAACTATGTCATTCTTTAATTTTAGATTTCTTTCCTGGATATTTATGGCACTGAAGTCTCTTGTTTTCTTGTTTAAAGATTTAAATGTCTTTTGTGTACACATATACACTGACACATACACACATGCACACACACACTGCTTTTGCAAATATATACAATAAGGAGGCAGGAGATATTTTTGTTTCAATAATAAGTGCTTTCTAAAATTATTAAACAGCTATTATGTACTAGGACTTCAAACACATTTTAAAATCTGAATTCTCATGATTAGAGAAAATTAGTGCCCCATTATTTGAACAAGAAAGGAAAACCTGGAAAGTTGATGTGTCTTACAAATTTAGAAAGCTATTGCATGTCAGAGCCAGGATTCCAGACAGGTCTTTCCATTTCTGGAACCCATTTAACTTAAACTTCACTGTAGTTCAGCCCATTTTGCTTCTCAGATTAATTTATCAACAGTGCCTGTGATGGCATCTGTTCAGTGTGGATACTTGGTAGAGCATGCATAGTAAATACTTTTAATGAGTAATAAATATTTGTAGAGTGATGACTCTTTCATGTTCGGTGTTTTCATGGATCCTGAAGGTAATTAAAAATAACCCAACTAAAATCCAAATTGCAGATCATCAGGTAAATGTGACACTTATGCTATCACTTTTCTATGTTGAGTAAAAGTAGGAAGAACTCTTAAATCTAGGGATAGATATTGTGGAAAATAAGAGAACAAATTGGTTTATACGGACAACAATTTTAAAGATAATTCCCGAATGATTGCTTACCATCTGAATTCAAACCTTAAAGTGTTTCGCTACTACTAAACAACATTTAAGATCACAGAAAAGTGCATATCTATTGATTCTTTCCAGCAGGTTTCCCTGCATGATATGACTTGGATGATTAAAAACATCTTCCCAGTGACAAAAAAGATGGGAATTGTAGCAGATGGAAACTGTAGAGATATGCCAAAAAGGAAAGTCCAACAGGCTATGTCCGGGTACATTCAGAGTATATGGCAATATCTTGGTGCATTTGTGTGTTTTGTTCAAGACCCTCAATAAAGTCGATAATTGTGTTACTGAGTTTATTGATCTCAGAGAATAGCACTGTTCATGAGAGAAAAAATTCATGTTAACCAAGATCAGTTTTATTTTGTTTAAAAAAAAAACCCAGAAAACAGTCAATAACTGAGACAAGGACCAGAATACACATGTACGGTGAATTCCCTACCTCTAAGTAGACCTGCATGAGATTCCAATTATTTTGCCCAAGTGACATTGTGCATATGTGGTAATCAGAGCCATTGATAGGTAAATTAGATCAATTAAATGTTTAATAGTTTTGAGCTACAGTGACATAATATGTTTGATTTCAAAACAAACATGGATTAAGTTATTGAATAAAATACTAAACACCCATCAGGTACAGTGTTTTTTCTCTCTAGGCAAAATTTGAAAGTATATTCACTAGTAATTCTCTTCTGTAAATCAATTTCATACCAATAAAACCAAATACAAATATGCTCTTCTAGTTGACTGTGTTCCTTTAGAAACATTAATAAACTTTGTCAGTTCAAGGTTTGCATGGTGGTTAAGTGTACTTGATTGAATTTATTAATTAGTTGATATCTTATTTATTATTTAATGCGATGTCTGTATTTTTTCAGTGTACAAAACTGTTATTATGACTATTGTTTTATTTTCCAAATAATATAATTAAGAAGAGAGTAAAAAACCCCATGCAGAAAAGACAGTCCCTACATATCAGAAATTAATACTTACTGATACTTATGAAGTCTGTGTTCCAAATTTAAGGTAAATGGATGAAATTATTCATAAGAATATGTATATGCTTATAATTATGGCAAAATAAGACTAAAATTGAAAGCATTTTCAAAAATAGTGAAGAGTATTTAATGGGGTTATTTTAATGAAAGGCAATTATAGTATTACTCAGCTTTACTATAATAGAGAAGAATCCTACAATTATGGTGGCTTAAAATAAGTATTTAATTATCAGTCATGCAGTATGTAGTTATGTGTTGGCTGCAACTTTCCTCTAGGCAATGGCTGGGCTTCAGGCTAAGATTGTTACAGGCTGCAGCTTTGCTCCATTATTGAGTTGATTGACATATGCCTTTGTTCCAGAACACAGGATAAAGAAGCAGCACCTGTGCATTAGATAAACATTCCGCAGTAAAGCAGAAGAGTAAGAGCTGGCATAAACATATAATACCTACAGCCTCTGCTTGAACATTGTGTAACCACGTTTGCTGATATTGACCATAATCCATAACAGGGCCAGTCTGAAGTTAGTAGAAGAGGAATTTATATTTTGCCTCCATGATGGTATGAACAACAAAGAATAATGTACCATAGATATATTATATATAAATTAAAATGTTTTAAATATAAATAAAACATATCAAGTAACAAAATTTATTTGCATGGCAAGGTTTATAGAGATTTATTAATAACAAATATTTTTGCTAGTGATTTTCTCTTGTTATTCCCAGTTTTGTATAAACAGAGAATACACTCAGTTATTTTGAATGAAATGCTTAGAAAAAATAATTTTGATTTTTTTGGTTATTACTTTGTCAAACAACAGATATTCACTTTTGTATAGCATTGGAATGATAGTTGATGTGGAGTCTAAATGTATGAATGAGTTAGACATATTCCACACACTGGGTTGGAGGAATGAAAAAAGCCCTGGCTTTTCTTTACCTTTCTTTTAACATATCAGTCCCAGTTGATAGTATTCCCAATGCTATGCTCCAACACTCTTAAATTATATATATTAATGATTTATGGATACATTTTTGTACTGAGATATAAAAAGCAACAACGAAAAGTTACTTATAAGACCAATCTTTGGATTTAACACTTAACTTGTGTTTGGAAATGTTGAAGATGTAAATGTCTATTATATTCACAAATAGATATGCATGTGGAAAATTTTTCTTGTATGCTTAAACATTTATTTTTTTATTCATAACAGTCATTTTGAAGTCACAATTCCCTTATTCCTGCCTCATGAAGTTTTATCTTTGTGAATTTCACTTCTTAGACAAAATCATTGCATTTTGTAGATATAGTGTGATATGGTTTGGTTCTGTGTCTGCACCCAGATCTCACATAGAATTGTAATCCGCAGTGTTGGAGGAGGGATTCGGTGGGAGGTGATTGGATCATGGGGGTGGATATCCCCCTTGCTCTTCTCGTGATAGTGACTGAGTTCTCACGAGATCTAGTTGTTCTAAGGTGTGTAGAACTTCCCCCTTCATCTTCTCTCTCCTGCTGGCCATGTGAATATGTGCTTGTTTCACCTTTGCCTTCTGCTATGATTGTAAGTTTCCTGTGGCCTCCCCAGAAGCAGAAGCCTGTATATCCCACAGAACCATGAGCCAATTAAACCTCTTTTCTTTATAAATTACCCAGTCTGAAGTATGTTTTTATAGCAGTCCATAGTGAGAATGGACTAATACACACTGTGATTTCACCCATCAGCTCCCCTGATGGATATTTGAATTATTTCACTTCTATTGTGATTATAGGTATTGCTGCAGTGAATAGCTTTGTGCCCTTATTTGCACAATGGTTTTGGTATAAATTCTAAGAATTGGGGTTGCTATGTCTGATGGTAAATTTTAAGATATTTCCAAATTTGCCTCTATTATAGTGACTTTTTAAAATCATTATGAGCTGTGAATGAACTTACTTCCTGAAACCTTTCTGAAGAACATGTGGTCACATTTTTAGATTTTTATAAATCTAGTAAGTGAAAAAAATAGTATTCTGTGTTTTTCACTTAAAATTTAGAAGCCAATTTGAGCAGGTTTTCATATATTAAAGAGCTATTTACACGTCTTTTTCTCTGATCTTTTTACATATATCATTAGCCCATTTTTACAGGGTTGTTGGTTTTTCACTTCTCCATAGCTCTTTATATATTAAGGATATTAATTTTTGTGCGATATGAATTTGGATATCCTTTGTTGTAAAATTTAAATCTGTGTTTTACCTGAGACATAGCTTCCAGGACTGAAAGGTAGTTTAGCTATTTCAGTTAGATGCAGTTTGGAACTTATTTAGTAAAAATTTGCCTCTAAGATTGTAAAGAAGATAACCATGTGTTGTTGGTTTCTTTGCCATGGGTCTCTTCCAATCCAATAATGAGTTTTTAGATAGTCTAGGTTCCCTGGCAGCAGCTCTCAGGTCACACTGTACCTTCTACCTCTTCCCTAGAGCCCCACTCAAGCCTGGGTTGCTCCTTTCTCTCTGAGGATGGCAGCAGCAGTTTGAAGCTACCACAGCCATTCACTTTTTCCATGCACCGGCGAGTTTTTCTATCCCCTAATATGAAGGATATGCCATTACTCTTAATTTGTTTTGCTTTTGTTTAGAATTCTTCTGCAGATGTTTTTGATTTATTAGTGTGTTCTCTTATGATTTCTGGAATGTCAATCACTCGCTACTGTAAAGATGTTCCTGCTTCAAGGTTATACACGTATTCACCCATATTTTCTTTTAGTATATATAGAATGTAATTTTAACATTAATTTTTTGACCTAGTTACAGTTTTCAATCAATGTATTTTGATGTACTTTTTTACTTATTGTGAAGTTTGCTCCTTTCATACCTTTCTCATGTTTTGGATAGTTCCAATATAACGTTGTAGTCTTGTCGCACATCTTGTCTCTGCATTCATGCATTCCTGTGTTGTTTTTGTTTTTGTTCTTATCATCTTTCTTAAACAAATACTTCATTAAAATTTTTAGTTCATGTTGGAATATTAGATTACACTTTTCATCAACTGTGTGAAACAATGTTACTTTTCTCATCCTCTTCCTTATCCCATCTTTACATGTAGACACTTTGTTCCTTATTTTTGATAGTTATATTTACATTCAGTACATTTTAGATTCCAGGGAAGCAGTGGTAGGAGTGATCCAGGGTGGTTTTCCAAGCTTCCCAGGTTACGGATTTCCTTTATGTTTCTGCAAAAATCTTAAAAACACAGCACATTTGTTGCTCAGAGATCTTTTGAAAGGGATCTTGTAACATCAGTTGTAGCCTTTCTATATCTCATAATTTTTGACTTGCAAGATATGTCTTCACTTATAATAATTCTATTTGCTAAAACTCCTCAAATATGCTACTTCTGGGAAATAAACTTCATCCTACTTTCCAACACTTCTCCCTCTGCTTTCCTAGAAATTTAACTCTCTTCGATATTAGTTCTATTTGGATGGTCATCTTTCTGTGAAATCCTCTCCTTCTGGGAGCAATATGATAAAACCTTGCAGTAATATGCACTGGTAACGTGAATTATAAAAAATGTGATGAGTATTAGCTCCTTTCTCTGTGCAACTCTATTCTGAATTCAAAGCACAATAACATTTGCTTTCCTTTCAGGTGAGAAGGAAGATAAACGTGGAGGACATACAGAATATTGACATTGACAGTCAGAAAATGTGGGAGGTGAAGAGTATGTAGCCACAGTCCCAGTATTTTTCTGTGCTAGTTTTATTTTCCAATTTAGCTATACAAAATGGGTATCAACTAACTAGAAAGATTTGAGATAATTGATATTCTGGATTTTTTCCCATCAATATTTTAAACAGAATAGACACTTGCCATTGCATGAGTCTGAAAACCACCTGAACCAGACTGGATTCGCATTGCTTGGCCAGGCTTTGTAACACTCAACTAGCCACTGTGTATTCCGATCTCAGTCATGTTTTTAATCTCACAGTAATGAAACTCAACCTTATATGTAATTTTATATTTTGCATTCCATTGGGTTGGGTGTTACTGTATCCTTAGTGATTTCTGAGCTCCTGGTTTCTAGGCTTCTTGCACAGTTCCTGTCCATTTCTGTGACACATTCTCATGTGTCTACTCAAGGTGGATTCAGGTCTATGCTTTTAGTAACATATAAACACTATTTATTGCTTGTGTAGTTTTTTGTTTTTGTTTTCCTGATCCCAGTTTTCTGTAAAGTGCAGGTTTTTAATTTTTTGTTGCTTTATTTTTCTCCTTAATAAATTGTATGATTACCCACATTTCCCTTCAGAATTGAAACTATGCTCAGACATTTGCAAAAGACACTTTAAAATATAATTTCTTATCTTTAAAATTAGAAAGCTCAAACCCCGTAAAATACAATTTCAGATTCACTAGTAGACTCTAACGATATTCAATAATAGAAGCAATTCACTGAAATAATTTTTATTCATTTTACACTCTTCCTTTCCAGAAAATGGTAATTTAAAAAATCTATTTCTCCAAAGTTCACCATCAAAATAGATATTAAAAATTATATATACTCTAGTTTCAAGAAAGCATAAAGGAAATCCTATCACATTTGACCTTGAGAATAATGAAGCTGAACATATATAAGCCATTTAGAACAAAATATTCAATATGGTTACATTTATGCCCTGTACAGAAAGTTATGAAGGTCTCTAATAAAGATACACTTTGGCAATGTTCGCAAATAATAGTATTTTGTCTTTGAAGAAAGATGTAATTATTTTATAAAGTGTTACATTGATCTCAAGCACTTTTTCAATGCTAGATGTGCTTGGATTGAAGAATAATATAAGATCAAATATTTTTTGTTCTGCTTTCACTCATGCTTGTTTCTTCTTAAATTAAACCTAATTTTAGTTGTCAGGGTCTTATCTATTACTGTCTCATCTACTGTGACCACTTCCATCTTGATATGCAGAGGTCATTTGTATGGTGTTTGACGCTATTGATTCTAAAGTTATAAAACGCAACATCACATGGACTCTTTACAATCTGTGATAAAAAGAGAGTTTGGGACTTCTGATATGGGGCAGAGGGCAGATAAAGAAAAGAAAAAAGAGATGCAGCTTCTAGAAAATAAACTTTAATAGAAAGATAGCATTATTTCCCCAGCTTTGGAAAGCTATAAGTAAAAAGTAAAAATGTATATATTTACAGTATACAATGTGATGTTTTCATTTAATCATTTCAGAATGAGAAATGATTTAATCAAGTTAATTAACATATCCATCATCTTACATACCTACCATTATTTTGTGTGTCTGCTGAGAATGATTAAGATCTAATCTCTTAGCAAATTTTAAGTATTTATTGCATTATTATTAGCTATAGTCATCATGCTGTACAAGACACCTCCAGACTAATTCATCTTGTTCAATGAAAACCTCATGCCCTTTAACCAACAGAGAAATAGCACTTTTGAAAGCATACTGGAGGGAGGAATTGAAGAAGACTAAAAAGTAACAAAATGAAGGAAAAGTGAAAATAAAGTAAAATTAAAAGTGAAAATGTACTATGAAGTTAATATTGCAAAAAAAAACACAAAACAAAAACAAAAAACAAACAAAAAAATGCACCACCAGGAAGTGAAAGAATGTGTCATTGACAGCCTCAAAGAAAACCTAGGTAAAATCATGTGAATTTAAGCAGAAATCATATGTCATGCTTTCTGGCGACACAACCCCTTTTATACATTCTTCCTGTGCTTGGAAATCTTCTTTTCTTATGAGACCTGGCTACCCTGGATATAAATCAGAAAACATGCTTGCCCGGTATTATTGCCTTTTGAATGTGTCAATTTGGGGAGGCTACAGTCCCCAGTTATTCAATCAAATACTAATATAGTTGGTACAATGAAGGTATTTTAAAGATATGATTAGATTCCATAATATCTTAATTTTAAGTGAGAGAGAGTATACTAGATAATTCGTATAGTCCAATTTAATCCATTATAAAACCTTAAGAGCAGCTCTTAATCTTATGTGAAAGAAAAAAAAAAGAAATTCTACCTGTGGACAACAGTTTAAGCCTGTGTTCTAGAATTTCAACTTGTTCCTCCTGACTGCTTGCTTCATAGATTTTGGATTTGTCCAGCCAGCCCTCACAATCATGTAAGCCATTTCTTTGTAACAAATCTCTTAGTATGTATTTCCTGCTTCTGCCCCCTGGTTGAACTCTAACTGACACATTTAACTAAAAGTAGGTAAGCCCATACACTTACCTAAAAGTGGGCTGCTGCTCTAACAAGTACCTTAAAAATATGGAAGTGGCTTCAGTATAGGGCCACGCACAGAGGCTGAAAATGTTTTGAAGAGCATGGTAGAAAAAGCTTAGATTGTCTTTAATAGACTACTAGTTGAAATATGGATTCTAATGACTCTGCTACTGAGCACTCAGAGGAAGTTAAAAGCATGGTAAAGACAGCCTAAAGCACCATAGAGGGTATCTAAATAATCAGAAACAGATTGCTGGTAGAAATATGGAGGATAAAGGTGCTAATGTTGAGGACTCAGAAAGAAATGAGGAGCATGTTATTGGAAGTTTAGGAAAAAGAGATCCCTATGATATCGTGGCAGAAATTTTAGCAGGATTGTGTCTTGCAGTTACATGGGAAGCAAAACTTATGTGTTGAAATTGAGTATTTCGTCGAGGAGATTCCCGAAGTGTTGAGTGTATGGACTAATCTGTTTTTGCTATTTATAGTAAAAATGTAAACTAAAAGAAATAAATTGAGGAAACAATTGTAAACAAAAGTTAATCAGGAATATGATTTGGAAGGTCCCAGCTTATTCAGACTGCAAAAATTGCTAAAACTACTCAATTTATTTTCTTGAAAGTGTACTATAATGAAAAAAAATACTGAGCATGTGGCTGCTAGTAGGGACTTGTTATTACCTGAGAAAGATCAAAAGGTCAGAGTACGCAGTCATGCTAAAAAATGTTTTTTGAAAAGATTAAATATGCTACTCATAGATCACAGTCATCTAAATGGAATCAAAAATTAGAAGTGAGAGTATGTAGGAGTGGCTTGTGAAGGAACCTCTCATCTAATAACATACATCCATGTATGCATCCATCCATGTGTACATCCATCCATGTGTACACATATACTGTAATGTAACAAAACCTAGCATGACATGATAGGACTTACATGGGAGACTCCCAAAATTCCTTAGTATATTATACCAACAGAGACGTGGCCAGCTTGCTTTAATGAGGGCAATAGGAGTACAAAATAAAAACAACTTATTGTTTTACATGATAAGTATCCTCAAACTTATCATGCAAGAAACAGGCTGAATAAAATTACTCATCTGCAAACACATGCAATCATTAATGAAAAAGAATATTGTCTCAGAGCATAGATCTAAGAATCATAGGGGATTATTTCCAAACATTGAAACCAAATGGAATTTTCTTAGTGCGGTTTTGAAATTGTTCTTGACTTGCGACTCCATTTTCTTTTTCTTTTATCTCATTTTGAAAAAGAATGTTTGTAACTGTTATTCTATGCTTATCCCACCATTTCATTTTGGTAGCAAGTAACTCGTTGCTTGAGTTTCACAGGTTCACAAATGAAGAAGAATTGTCTACACTATGGTTTATACCCAGAGTCTCACTTATACCCTGTAAAGATGATGTAGTTTTTGAGATTTGAGCTGATAAGATTTTGAACTTTGAGTTGATACTGTGACCGGTCTTTGTTCTTAGAGCTCCCAAGATATGGCGGGCTGCTCCCAAGATAGCAGCAAGCCTTTTGTTCTCTGACCTGGGGTTCTTGGCCTCACGGATTCCAAGGAATGGAAACTTGGGCCATGTGGTGAGTGTTATAGCTCTATTAGAAGCCGTGGGTCACAGAAGAGAACTGTGGAACCCAGTGACTAGTGTTCAGCTTGATTAGGACGAACCCTGACACTAGCCGCGCAAGGACAATGGCGAGCCTCTAGCCCAATCAGGAGCAGCAATGGGTGCCTTGCTTGATCAGAAGCACAGCAGACACCCTGCCCCGATCCCTAGGGGTGGAAGTCTGCCGTGAGTCTGCGATGGTGGCGATCAGCAGTGGTGGACAGTGAGCGAAAGCTCAGCTCCAGCTGGAACAAACACGGACCAGAAGAGTGTGTAGTTGCAAGATTTAATAGAGTGAAAACAGAGCTCCCATACAACGGGAGGGGACTCAAAGGGGGTTGCCAATGCCAGCTCGAAATGCCTGGGTTTATATCCCGATCATTGTCCCTCCCCCAGTGCTCTCAGGTGATAGATGATTTGACTATTTCTTTACCTCCTGATTTTAGCCTAATTGGTATTTTAGTGAGCTCTCTTTACCACCTGATTGGTCAGGTGTGAGCTGAGTTACATGCCCCAGGTTTAAAGGTGAGTGTGGTCACCTTCTCCAGCTAGGCTTAGGAATTCTTAGTTGGTCTAGGAAATCCAGCTAGTCCTGTCTCTCAATATTGCAGTAGGTTGGGACTTTTGCAGACATTGCAGTCAAGCTTATTTATTTGGTATGTGGGAAGAACATGGATTTTTGGGCAGGCCAGTGTAGTGTGTGAATTATGGTAAGCAAAATAATAGCTGTCCAAAGATGTTTATGCCCTAATTCTTAAAGCTTGTGAATATGTTGAATTGTATAACGAGAAATTAAAATGCACATGGAGTTTAAGTTGCTAATTGACTTTAAAATAGGGATATTAACCTCAATTATCCAATTGGACCCATTATAATCACAAGGGTCCTTAAAACTAGGCAAGAGGATTGGAAAAAGGACTGGAAGGATGGCAATATAAGAAGAACTTGGCCAAACTTGCTGGGCCACAAGCCAAGAGGGTCACAAGCCAAGAAATGTACATGGCTTCTGGAAGCTAGAAAAGACAGGAACACGGATTCTCCCCTAGAACTTCAAGAAAGAAATGGAGCCCTAAAGATCCCTTGATTTTAGTCCAATAAGACCCTTTTAGACTCCCCACATCCAGAATTGTAAGATAATAAATTTGTGTTATTTTAAGCCACGAAGTTTGTGGTAAAATTTTCCAGCAGCTATAGGAAATTGGTATATATAGCCTTGCTTGGAGCTAGGGATCAGGCACATGATGTTGGCTTCAGCAAGCAGATCAAGTTCATTAACACCTCAATTTGAAGGCAGACAAGGTGAAGAGTCAAGTAGTGTTCAGAGTCTATTTTCTGATAAGGTTGGAAGAGGAAACAGGCTTTGGCCTTCAGAAGCAGACGTAGTGAAGACTATGGTGTCAAGCCCAGCCCCAGTATTGAGAGGCAGAGCATCTATGCCCAGTTTCAGAACAGTGTGATCCCTTGCAGAACAGTCTTCAGATGAGGTTTGGGTATTTAGGGGCTGTAGAACCTCTATAGCCTCAAATCTCAACTTACTGTCTCTGCTAGATATTCTTTGACCTACCATATATACTTTAAAAATTTATTTGAAAGAGCTGATGTGTGCTCCGTCTTTTCCAGTTAAGAATTCTGACTTATTCACGATTTATCTAGACAGAAATTTCATTGGATTTTTGAGAGGGAAACCATATTTTAGAATTAATGTGGAAATAAGTGCTGTAGAATTGAAGAAACTGGGTAGAGAGCACTTTGTTTAATAATCTGCTCCCTTCAGTTATTAACTCCTGAGACAAGGAGAATGCCAAAGCAGTGTTGCAGTGAATGAACTGGGACCTTTATTTCCTCTCTGGGCAAATGAAACGCTAATTATCTTGTTATCTTAAATTCAAGCAGCTTATTCTTTTATTCGTATGTGGGAACTCAGGCAAGTATAATCTCATGTAGGGAAATCCTCTGTAGTGTATAAAATGAGGACACACATTTAATGTCACCTTTTACAAGAGAAGAAAATAAAAGGCTTTCTGTCTATGAAATTATACAAAAATATATTATTTTCTCCATAGAATTTTTCATTTAATAATTCATTTATGTTTCCAATATATTTACTGGGAATCTACTATCTGCTTAACTATGAAGGAAAAGCCATGAGTAAAACATGGTTTCTGCCTTTTGAAAAGCCTAAATGTAAAAGAAAAGCCAGGTATAATGAAATCAGCATGGGTATAATAACATGAGGGTATAATACAGTATTCCAGGATCATCTAAAAATGTATTGTTAAATATTCCACAGAAACGTGGAGAGTATTCAAAACAAAGGTGATATTTGCCATTAGCCTTACAGGATAGAGAAAAAGAGAGGAAGAAATCAGAGCAAAATGTACTCCTGGCAGAGAAATTGACATGTGAAAAGCCCAAGAGATATAATGGGGTATAATATATCCATGGATGATGAGTGGTCCAATATGGATGAAGTAAAGAGTATGTGTTTATGTGTATGTATATGATTTCGTGTGTGTATGTGGGGTGTAGGGGTGTGTGTGTGTGTGTTGGGTTTTCTTTTTGTGGGGGTGAAACATTTATCTAAACAGGACTGTTAGTATAAGATTTAAAAGATCACAATTGTATTTGCTGGCAATGTGAAGAATATACTAAAGAGGAGACAGAATGAAGGCAGAGTGAAGTGAATAGCTAGATAATGCATTTAACTCCAGTTAGAAATGACGCTACTACAGCTAGGCTGCAGCAATGAAAGAGAGGTTTAAATTTATAGGACTTGAACAGTTAAATAGGAAAAAGTGGTGTGGGAATGAGTAGTGGTCCAGGATTGCTGTGCATTTAACTGGTGGAATTTCTCATACCATTTTCATTACCACTTAAATGAAATCATTCAATATTTCATCCTATTTGACTGTAGTTAAGTCCAGTACTCCCTTGAAAAAGTCTGAGGGTATTCAGCGATCATTTTCACATATTGTGTGTCATTTTTGACCTCTACTGGTGATGTGAATTCCAGGATTCTCTTCAGTCACCATTGGCCACATTGTTATCCTACGATCCTTTCATGCTGACACAGCTCTCCTTGTTCCATTTCAACCAAAATTAGGACTCATTCAATCCCTTACTGTTATAGCAGAGTTAAAACAGAATAGATACTAATTTGAGGTTACTAAAAAACAACTGAAATTTTTTTCTATATAATAAGTAATCATTATTCAGAACGACATTCTCAGTGTTCCTCAAATCCAGGAGCCATACATGCTTAGAATGAATCTGCCAATGTTGAACATTTCCAAATTAGACTATATCCTATTTCTGATTTCTAATTTTCCACTCATTCTTGTGACAGCAAACTGTGTCTCTTCAAAAAATTTTTAAAAATCCTTTAAAATTAGACATTCTTGGAGATAAATTTTCTAAAATTAAAGCACATATTTAATAAGATAATCATTCATATTCCATTCTGTATTTTTTGCATTTTACCACTTTTCAATACTATGACAAGGATGATGAGTATTAACTGTGTTTTTATCTGTGAGGAATATGCATGTTCACCAAACTTAATACTGTTAGAACAAAAAAGGATAAGACAAATATGGATTACTAAACCAATTTTTGGAGACCTAGAAAATGTTTCTGAATGTCATTTTGTTTCTCTCAATAAAGTCCAACAATTCAGAGACATTTAAATCAAGGTTCAATAACCAGGGAAGGGAGGAAGGAAGTAATAATTAGGCAAATTCTAAAAATGGTAGGTTTGAGTTGTCTGACAGGCCACTACTTGAGATAACTAGTTGTAAGTTAAAAATATAAGTCAGGAGATAAATGAGGTCAAGTTATATATTTGAGAATCATGGATTTATACATAGAATTTAAAGCTGTGAGGCCCAACAAATTTATCAGGTCAAAAACAGGTAGAGTATGAAATCTGAAAAGACAAGATTTGAACTTTAGAAAATTTGACGTCTTAAGAGGATAAGTTGAGAAAAACTAGAAAACTAAAGATATGGAAAATGAGCATTCAGGTGAATATAAGAAAAAACAGAAGAGTAAATTCTATGTAGGATTTACTGTTTAAGAGCAAATTCTATGTAGGATTTACTGTTTAAGAGTAAATTCTATGTAGAGTTCACAGAAGCCCCAGCTGTTGCAGAAGATGGTCCCAAGGTTTGAGGAGTGATGCAAATGCTCTGGAAAGTTATAATAGAATGAGGCCAGTAGAAGTGTAATTGTGGCTGACAATTAAGGTCCACTGACCCTTTTAATCAGAATGCGGTATGAAGTAGACAGTAATAAACAGATAAGCTGAAAGGAGAAAATGTAGATGACTATTTAAGAAATATGACTGGAAAGGAGGGACTTAGATCGATTACCCTGTTAAGGGGTCCTTATGAAGGGGTGCTGATTACTATGGGAACTATTTCCATAGCTGACATTTTTACCTGGAATTTATCTCTTCAAATTCCTCTATTTAATAAACCTGAATTAGTTTTTTAACTTGAGGATTTCAATAACTAAACAAAAATAACAACACCAGCTGACAACAATTAAATGCATAATTCAGAATAAAATTTGTGAGTTAAAAATTGTGTGTTAAGTGATTTAGTAAATATGAACTACACATATTACACACAAACCCTATGTAAAGTTCTCCTACTGTTTTCTCTATTTTAAGGTAAAAGGATCAGCAAGAATGTTTTAGGGTGGGCAATTCTTTTAACCTGGTTCTTACACTAATTGTAGAAAATTCTGACACTTTCTGTATGTATCCCGCTCTTCAAGCTTCTGAGTTGAAGTACAGGTGCATATCAGTTATAGATTATAATTTTAAAATAAACTTTTAATATGCTGAAGTTCAGAATAATGTGCCAAATAGAGGAAAAATTCAATACACATGAAAAGAAAATATTTTTTTAGAAAGGAGGCAAATGGATAAACTAAAAGAGGTCAACAATTAAAAAGTACTGTCTACTATATGAAGAAATATCATAAGGGATAGAAAGAGGGCTTATCTAAGAATATATAAATTTTTCATTCATTTTCTAATTTTATATAACTGAAGGAAAAATAAAATAAAATAAAGCATTCCAGGCCTTGTATTGTTGTTTCCTAGAAAATAAAATACTACCATCTCCTAATTCTTCCCAAATCCAGAAATGTATTCTGATTAATTCCTTAGAGATGTATTTCTTTGGTGACTAATACTAAGAAATTGGCACTGTGTGAAGCTATTAGTATTAGTGTTTTGTCTTAGTCTGTTCAGACTGCCGTAAGAAAATGTCATAGACTTGGTGGCTTATAAACAGAAATTTATTTCTCACCATTCAGATGCTGGGAAATCCAAGATTTAAGGTGGCAGCAGTTCCATATCTGGTGAGAGCCTGTTTCCCAATTCATAGATGGCATCTTATTACTGAGTCCATGCACAGTGGAAAGGACAAGGCAGTTCTCTTGTTTTTTTTTTTTTTTTTATAAGGGCACTAATCTCATTTATGAGGGTTCTGCCATTATGCATTAATTACCCACCAAACACAAAACAGGGGAAATAAAGAAGTTACAAATTTATGAAAAGCCAACATCTTTTTAATTTCTTTCCATTGCCTGTTTTAAGATACCATGTAAGGTCCATCTGTTATAGAGAAAATGAATATATTATGAAAAATTTTGGCAACCTCATAATTGCATTTCTATACATGCTTTAAATGCATTTTGGTTTGCAAACAAAAGGCATATATCATAAATTGCAAAGAAAAATGTATATGCCTCTTTCTGTGAAAGAAAATGAGATATGTCAATAAATCTTTACCACTGAAGAAAATATTTCCTTTTCTTGAGATTCTTTTCTTAGAAGACCAAACTTTGCTACCATGTGAAAACTATTTGAGAGTATTTATCTATGTAAAAACTCAAAAACACTAATGTAGCTTTCAATATATCATTTTTTTCTAGAACTTTCTATGCCTTCGCTACCAAGCAAATTCATCTTCAAGAACAACCTACCCACTCTCATTTGATGATTCTATACGTTTTCCCCTTTCTACAGCTCTGTTGTTTTTGTCTGATATAAAACACAAATTCCATGCTTAAGTACAATTTTAATCAAATCCTCATTTAAGTAAAAATAAATCAATACTTTTTATGTTCTTGAGGATTTTTTAGAATTAAAAATGAATAAGATTCTATTTTTATTCTGTATGGTTTAAAACTTATTATTTTCTTTATTGCCCAAGGATTCTAATTTTCTTTCACTCAGAAAACACATCACAGAGTTTTGCATAATAGCTATTTAACAAGTATCTGTTGAATAGATTTTAAAAGAAGAGTTAATTCAGGAAAAGTGTAAAAAAAAACTCCTTAAAACTATAACTTCAAGACAGTTATAAAATGTCAGTATTAGTATAAATATATATTTACAATAGAAATAAATACAAACTTTTATAATCTCTCACTATTTTACTTATATAGCATGGATATATAGTGAATAAACAAATAAGGAAACAGGAAAAATGAGTCACCATTTCTTTCTGGCATATTTAACTCCATCTTTGGCCAGAAACCATATCTAAATATAGATATAAAATTGGAATAAAACATAACTTATAATCAGGAGTATACAGAGATTGCTGTTGAAACAACCTCTGAGAAACTGAACACTCTAGCTTATGTTGAATGTATTACACCTTAGTTGTAATTAATTTTATAAAATTAAATCAGAAAAGGTAGTTTATATTTGATTTTTAAGTTCTATATTTATATCAATAATGAGGTAAAGCCTTGTATTGATTTGTAGGGTGTTATAAAATGTAATGGAGACTAATAACAGTCACAATGTTTACTATTTATTTTTGTGATGAACTACCATAAGCATGTAGAAATTACGTTATATTTTGGCGTTCTACAACCTAAAACATATGTATCAAAAATGTACGAAGGTTATCTAATCCAAAGTATTCCCTAGGGTTCAATTATGTCTACCTTGACACATTGTCACCTAGCATTTTTTTTTTTTTTTTTTTGAGATGGAGTTTCCCTCTTGTTGTCCAGGCTGGAATGCAATGGAACAATCTTGGCTCACTGCAACCTCTGCCACTCAGGTTCAAGCAATTCTCCTGTCTCAGCCTCCCAAGTAGCTGGGATTACAGGCATGCACCACCACGCCCAGCTTCTTAGGAATATTTTGAGGCTGATCACTTATGCTTACAGCTGTGGAAATATCTTATCTGTGGCCATTTTCATGGTGTGTGTGTGTGTGTGTGTGTGTGTGTGTGTACGCACTATGTGTAAAAGTGTGTTTGCATATCTTATGTATAAATTATGTTTCCTATGAAATGATTATTGCTCATTTTCTTTCAGGGAACTTCAGGCTTATTTTATAAATATCTTCTAAGCCAGCAATTACACATACATATACATAATTATTTATATATTACATATATAATTATTTTATATATACCAACAATTATTTTAGAAGGTTATTTTCTTAAGCCAAATACACACATAACAATGCTTTCTTGGTTCACGAAGGGTTTAAAGAATATATATTAATAATCTTATAAATAATGCAAATGAAATATTTATAATAGTTTATTTGGGAAAGCACAAAGACAAGGAAACATAACTTACTCAGTATAATAATAAAAAGGAAGTAAACTGCACTTTGAATAATTATCAAATTTACTATCTAGTTGATATGTTTACTAATTCATTAATATGTTTTTATATAAATTATTAGAATATATAATAACAAATATATATTATTATTATCTGGTCCTAAATAAACATTTTGTACACTGAAGAAACAGAATTAGACTGTAGTCTTCCAAGTTTCAAATCAGAAAATGAGAATAAAAAGGTAGCGGAACTGTTAATAGAAATTAATGTTATCATAATCCTATAAATTCATCCAAAGTAAATTTTTAATGGCTAGATCCTTAAAGAATCTAAATGGAAATAGAGAACTTGCTCTTTTTAATGTGGGGAACTTTTTGTCCGAAACAGGTTACTGACAGAAGACTCCTCCCCTGGATGGCTTTAAGGAGAGGACAGACATCTGAGAGAATTTCCTTTTCCCAAGGCAAACAGGCAGGAGTCAGATGTCTTCTTACTACTACTTCCAGAACTTGATTTTTGTGTCTCTTTTGTAAGAAAAGACAAGCTTTGCTATGATAGGACAAAATCTGAAAGATACTTATGAACCACATACTTACAGTCACATAGAAAATGGATGGATAGGCAGAAATTGAATGTATAAGAGGCCATGAAAGTAGAAATTTATATATACATAGAATTGTACATATAAATATGTATAATATTTTTAAAAGATGTATTCTTTTAACTTTGTCAATATGCTCAAATTAAACCATACTGAAAGTTACTTAACACTTGATAAGCATACTCACAGAGTTTTTTTTTTTAATTTTTCTACATGATAGAACATACGAAGGGTGTGTTTCACTGGAGAAATGTTATTCTGAGTCCACATAAGCTGTGCTATTACCAAAAGATGTAATTCAGAAATTATTCAGTTTTTTGTGGAAAAATACATCTAAACAAGAAGGAATAAATATAAGAGAAAATTTTATTCCCTAAAAAAGAGCGTAAGGCTTCCAAGTTAGAAGAATGATGAATCAACTTAGTTTGTTCTTTTTCTAGTTCCTTGACATGTAATATCCAAACCGTATTAAAAGCATTGTTAACTAGATAGTTGAAAGATGAAGACCCACTGGAAATATATTCAACTTAAAAAAGTTATCTATTCTGTTGTAGGTAATTGTAATAGTATATAGAATGCATAATGCATATGTATGTGCATACTTCACTAGTATAATGAAATATGCAATTTTAATATTTTTTATTAAATATTATGTAATATATATAATATATATATTAAATATATATTCAATATATATTCAAATATATAAAATTTTATATATTTGAAGCAATAGATTAAATCAATATGTCCTGTTTCTTCTAATCCTTTTCTATTGAAAAATAACAAGATTTGATGGAAATAAAAGCCAAATATAAATGTTTATTTAGACAACTGTGATGCTAATCTGTTGAAATATTAGAAAAGAATTATGAGTAGAATTAAAAAAAACAAAAATTCCAATAATATTGATATCAGTTATGATCTTGTTTCTCCAAAAGCAGCATACTCCACTGATGACTAAGGACATCTTTTTGTCATTGCATGCTCTACAAGTATAGCAGTATTAAGAATTTAATGTCAGTGAGAAAACAATTCACAGACCTGTTACAAAAATACAATTATATCTAAAGCTTTACAGAGGAGTTTATGAATGATATTTATCTCAGCATCTATGTGCTATTAATAAGAAATCTTTTTTTACCATTCAAAAATGAGCAATGATTGCAATAACATTACTAAATTTATAATTGGTATTCGGAAAAAGACATGCAGAGGGTATTTGCTACAAGGTCAGTTAAGTCAAACAGAGAATGATATTATGGAAAAGTTAAATGTATTAAAGGATTGGCATGTTTTAGTAATGAGGAATGGTTTTATTAATCACTCCATTACCGTAAGCGGAAAGTTCAATCAAATATTCTACATCAGTTGTTTGGGGATTTTGTAGAAAAGACGATATTTTTTCCCCTCATTTTATTTATGAGTTTAATTTTCAAAGTCATCTGGGAGAAAGAATAAAGAGCCTAATATCAGTCCTCTTATTTCTTAATAGGAAAATGGTTAATGCATGGACTCAAAATATCATAGTAATCAATTCCACTATAATTCAAATATAAAGCAAAAGTCTGCTTACAATCTCTAAAAGAAGGCATACAATTACTAGTGGTCAACTGATGAAATTACTGTGCCATGGCAATGATGTTCTAATTAATTGCAAGTACAATTTTCAGTTACCAAAATGTGGCATATACTTTTTGGGAAAAGGGATTCCTATATTTATAAGCAAAGAGTAATTTTGAACAGGTATCAAACAGAGGAATTGGGGTAGATATATTCACCGAAACAAACAGATAATTAATTTAATCATCACCCTTGACAGATCCTTGTTGAGATTTTGAAGATAGAAAAGCATATAATCTATAGTTAAGGCAAAGCAAATGCTCATAGGTTAGACTAAGAGCTAGAGCATGTGATTAGGTAACATTCAGCCGATCTAATAGAGCAGCAGAGGTTCAAAATGACTGTTATCCACTATTACTCTATTTGTGTAATGCCAAATAGATGATATAAATACATAATGAATGCATACTGCATATAACTATAAATAATATTTAAATTATGTATAGTATGAATTCATTTTCTTATCTCATAATCTGTCCTATAAACTTTAAAAATAATTTCCATTCCAATATTATTTCATCAAATAAAATTGTTTAGAAAATGTATTTAGCTACTTTGGTCATCTCTCTACTATTAATATGTATAGTACTGGACGCTATCTATAGAAAATAAAATTAAGTTTCTTACTGTTGCATTTGAAGGACAGCATAAACTAACCACAGTTCAAAAACCCAATGTTATTGTTTCTTCTTCCTTCTTCTTCATTGAACCAAATGTTCTAAATAAATTCACTTACTTTATAGTTTTCCAAAATAAGCTTTCTTTTTCTGCCTTGCTCAACTTCGCTCAAATTGTTTCTTCATAATTACATGCTTATTGGTTATACTTCTAAGTATTCTAAACAAATTCTGTATGTTTTTCAAAAGCATGTCAATATGCCATCCCTTTCTGACCTTGCTTGATTTTCCTAGTGAAGCATATTTTTACCTGTTCTAAGCTATGTAGGGAAGAAAAGATTAGAGAGTGAGGGTGTCATTAGTTCAGCCCAACTGGTTTAATAACAAGAAGCCTCAAAAGCTAGTATTTAATTCATTGAATTCACCAAAGTCCACGTATAGGTTCAGAAACACAAACTTGCAATATCTCAGAGTTAATTGGGTTCAGGCATACTATCCAAAACTAACGAAGCTCATAAAAATGAATTTAAAACCAGTGTTATGGTTTAATTTACTGTGTGAACTATGGTTGTTAGGTAGAGAGTAATTTTCTGAATTTGTGCCCTCTCTCTCCCCATAGCCCATGACATGTAAGGCTAAATGATCTGAAGGATGGCTGGTGAGCATGTAATCAAACTAAAGTAAGTTGTATTATTTGAATATCCAACAGTATCGGTTTCTAAAAGGCTGCTGCATTTATCATAACAAGAGAAATAAGTGTAATATGGATTAAATACCCAAGCCAGTCTGATCATTTAGTCTCCTCTTAGTACTTGGATTGGCCCTTCAATGTTCCTTTCTGTGGCTTTCTATTTTTGTTTTCCTTGATGATGATTTTATTTTCTAATACATATATTATTGAATTGGTAGGTTTAAAACAGTTTTTCTAAGCCTCGTTCACACCGTCTGCATTTAAATTGCTTGAGTGGTTTGTTTAAATTGTGGATCGCTGGGTTGTTCTGCAAATTTACCAGAATATTTGACTGTGCTGGGGCTTGGAAAGGCATGTAAATACATATAAATATGAAAAGAAAGAGTTAAACTATCTCACTTCACTTACGATATGATTCTAAACTTAGAAAACCCTAAAGGCTCCACTAAAAGTCTCCTAGAATTGATAAACAATTTTAGCAAGTATTCAGAATAAAAAATTCAGTGTACAAAAATCAGCAGCATTTCTGTACACCAATAATGTTAAAGGTGAGAGCTAAGTCAAGAATGCAATCCCATTTACAATACACACACACACACACACACACACACACACACCCGATTCCTAGGATCACGTCTAACTAAAGAGGTAAAAAGTCTTTGCAAGGAGAACTACAAAACACTGCTGAAAGAAATTAGAGATGACACAAATAAATGGTAAAACATTCCATACTCATAGATAGGAAGAATTAATATTGTTAAAATGACCACACTGCCCAAAGCAACTTATAGATTAAATGCTATTTCTAGCAAACTACCAACTTTATTCTTCACAGAATTAGAAAAAACAATCCTAACATTCGTAAGAAACCTAAAAAGAGCCTGAATACCCAAAACAATCCAAAGGGAAAAAAAAAAAAAAACAAAAAACAAAACAACCACAAAGCTGGACACATCATACTTCAAACTATAAGTTTGAACAAACCCACTTCAAACTATAATATAAGGCTACAGTAATGAAAATGGTAATGCTAGTACAAAAACAGACACATAGATCAGATAGACTAATGGAACAGAGTAGACAGCACAGAAATAAATCTGCACACCTACATACAACCTGCTGATCTTTAAGAAGGCCAATGAAAGCAGGAGATAAGGAAAAGACTCCCTATTCCATAAGTAGTTCTGAGATAACTGGCTAGCCACATGCAGAAGAAAGAAACCGGCCCTTATCTTTCACCATGTACAAAAATTAAGTCAACATGGATTAAAGATTTAAATGTGAGACCTCAAACTATAAAAATCCCAGAAGAAAACCTGGTAAATACTGTTCTTGACATGAACCTTGAAAAATAACTCTTGGATAGTGATATGGTTTGGCTGCGTTTCCACCCAAATCACATCTTGAATTATAGTTCCCATATTATCCCCACATGTCCTGGGAGGGACCCAATGGGAGGAAATTGAATAATGGGGGTGGTCACCCTTATGCTGTTCTCATGATAGTGAGTGAGTTTTCACAAGATCTGATGGTTTTATAGGAGCCTTTCCCCCTTTTTGCTGGGCACTTCTCCTTGCTGTCACTATATTAAGAAGGAAGTGTTTGCTTCCCCTTCCCCCATGATTGTACATTTCCTGAGGCCTTTACAGCCATGCCGAACTGTGAGTAAATTAAACCACTTTCTTTTATAAATTTTCCCATCCCAGGTGTGTCTTTATTAGCAGGGTGATAACAGACTAATACAGGTAAGCCTCCAAAAACAATGGCAACAACAATGAAAATTGACAAGTGGGGACAAATTAAACTAAAGAACTTCTGTATAGCAAAAGAACAGAGTAAACAGACACTCTACAGAATGGGAGAATATATTAACAAATTATGTATCTGACAAAGTTTTAATATCCAGAATTTATAAGGAACTTAAACAAAAATAAGTAACTCCATTAAAAATGGGCAAAGGACATGAACAGACACTTCTTAAAAGAAAATATGCAAGTGGGCAACAAACATGAAAAATGCTCACCAACAATAATTATCAGGGAAATGCAAGTCAAAATCAGAATGAGCTACCATATCATACCAATCAGAATGACTATTATTAAAAAGTCATAAAATCACAGATGCTGGCAAGGCTGTGGACAACAGAGAATGCTTATATACTGTTGGTTGAGTGTAAATTAGTTCAGAGACTGTGGAAAGCAGTTTGGAGTTTTCTCAAAGAGGTTAAAACAGAGCAACCATTCAACTCAGCAATGCCATTGCTGGGCATATATCCAATGAAAAATGGATCACTAAAACCATAATGATATTTGCACTTGTATGTTCAGTGCCATGCTTTTCACATAGCAAAGACATGGAATCAACCAAGGTGCCCATCAGGAGTGAATTGGAAAAACAATATGTGGTACATTTACCCCATGAAATACTACACAACCTTAAACAAGAATGCAATTATGTCATTTGCAGCAATATGAAGGGAGCAGGAGGCCATAGTCCTAAGAAAACACAGAATCAGAAAGCCAAATACTGTATATTCTCACTTTTAAGTGGGAGCTATATATTGGCACACCTAAATATAAACATGGAAACAATAGAAACTGCAGACTGAAAGGGAGGAGAGGAGTGGGGTATGGATTGAAAAACAACTATTTGGTATTATTCTTACCACCTAGATGCACTATACCTATGTAACAAACCTGTACATGTACTCCCCGTATCTAAAGTAAAAGTCAAAAATGTTAAAAAAAATTGTAAGGAAGAGAAAATACATTTAGAGTACTGTATTTACCGATACCATAAGTTTCCATCATCTGTTCATGAGATGAATTGTCTATCTGAAATGGTGGATAGTCACAACTGCAGACACCAATCTATGGTACAAATGATGCCATTCAACTTTTTCTTGTTAAAAAAAAAGAAAAAGATTACTGAAATGTATCTCTCATGGTATTATGTGTGGTAATTAAGTCAAATAATTGGTGATTTTATTTTATATTGAATCTCATTTTACTCATTTAAAGTCTTAATTTTGTTGGAGTATACTTGTTCACAACATCCTGAGTAATTTGGATTAATTACTCAGCAATCAAGTAATGATCCAAATAGATCAATTTTTAAAACTTTGCTTATCTCAGAATAACTTTATTATATCTTTATATTTCATTATTTGAACTTGTCTAGAATTCAAGTATGAATATTATTTTGTTCTCGAATTGAAAGTTTTGATCCATTTTCTTCTAAATTCCAATGCTTTTATTTGATAATCCAGTGTTACTTGAGTATTCATGGGTTTTATATACAGTTTTTTCACCAGAAAATATAAGGATATTTATTTTGCCTCTGTTGTTATAAAATGGCATGATATTTTACTTTGCTACAAGTCTATTTATTTTTATTTTTATTACATTTGTCTTTAAATAAGGGAGACATCCTTTCTAGGAAATTATCGTCTTCTATTACTTTGATAATTTTCTCTTCTCAGCATCCCTTGCTTTATCTTTCTTAATACCTTACTATTTGGCTACTTGACTTCTTCCAGTAATTTTTGGACACTCATTCCCTTTTCTGCTACTGGCCCATGATCTCTATATTTGCTTTACATACACTCCAAAAGCTATATTATGTTCTCTGGCTGATATTATTCATACTGTTTTCTTCTTATTGTATTGATTTAGTGTGTTCTCTCCTGTTATTGATATAATTAATTACACTTCATAGGAAATCTTTGCTTTTTATGATTGTCTCTGTTTCCACTTTATTCTTTTAAAATTGTTTTGTTTTTGCCTTTTGTATGAATTTTCTTTTCCGCAAATATCTGGTCAATTCTGACTCTTGATTAATTTTATAAGGGAGGAAAAAAGGCTATAAGTATGTGAAAAGAGCTGATTAACAAAACGGCTTGTGGCGATTTCATTTGAGAGCAACTCCCTTCTTCCATTGGGACACTCCTCTTCCTCTGTCCAAGAAAAGTCTGTGCAGAAGTAAGAATATTACTATGACTGCTTAAGGTCAGTCATAATTTCGGCCTTGGGGATCTTTATCTACTATATGACTAAATCAGCAAATTTGATCAGGGAAGGAAATGAGGTGCAGGGGGAATGGCTTTTGTTTGGCATCTCTCTCTTGCACCAGACCAAGACTGCTTAATTTTGAATTGGTCCTTTTGTGACATAAATAATCTTATTTCCAAAATCCAATTTGGAATTGGTATTTCAGTAGTAGGTGTTCAATATGTTCTTAAATGATAAGCCACCCTAACTAAAATAACTGTACCATTTTCTTTGTTATACAGTCTTATGATTCCTATTTTTTAATATTGCAGGTTTAATATGTAAAATAGTATGTAAATATATATATATTTTATTTATTTTATGTTTCTCTCACTAAATGAAGTAATAGAGGGAAAGAGTTTTGGCCCATTTATTTCACAGCTGAACCATCAACTAGTGAAATAATGTTTGCAGAGTTAGATATCCAGTACAAATGTGCTAAGTTATTTAATGGAAAAATACGTGATTTATTGTTGGGTGGAAAAAGAAAGCTGCAGAACCAGAAGCAGGCAAGACTTAGCCACATGAGCCAAACGTATTTGGCCATCAATGTTACTATTCCCTCAGGAGAAGCATAAAGTTTTCCATTTATGATAAATGACCAGCCCTAAGACTTTATTGATTTTGATTATGTTCTTCTTCAGAGGCATACAAATGTGGTCCAATTTCTTGTCTCTAGGTGATAAGTCTCTAAACTATATTTGGTTTGTCATTACGCAGAGTAATCATTGTAACTTAGCTTAAAATATATATGCTTTAGTCTTTTTTCATATTCCCTAATGATTGGAAAAAAATGTAGGAAATAAAATGCATTTTATTAATCATTTGGATTAAATAACTATTCCCAAAGTTTTCGGTGTGATCCTTTCTTGATATTACAAATATCATTATTTCTCATGTTGTGATATAATCTTTTTCCCTCATATACAATGTCCGAGTTCAAATAAACCTGGATGAAAAAATAGCTGGATGTGCCATCTGGCACAAAAATGGTAGCCAGTCAATCATTCAACCATCTGGGCCCAACACAGTCCTGACTGAGTTTTTGTACCTTGAACCAAAGGGGACCAGCTCAAATATTATAATTAACAGTGGGAAGAGAAGCTTGTGTTCCCATGTTGCTCCCTATTCTGGGCTATTGGCCATCAACCTAAAGCACTGCCTTCTTCTTCAGCTCAATTTACATTCAGAACTTCCAGCTATTCCCAGATAATAGAATTTAGTTTAAGAAAATTGTGTCTCTGGTATTTTCACTGTACTGTTCAGTTGTGACCTCCAAACCTGGCTGTACTTGGTATTATTTTCTTTTAAGAGGAAAATCTGTAGATTTTGGCAGCCACCGGGAAACACTTAATGTAGTAAAGGTATTCTGGAGATGTAGCCGCACACGTTCCAGAACAGGTACTGGCTGGCAGGCAGTCAGGTCCAGCCCTTCCATCTGTGCGTAGTACAATTCTCCTATGGATTCACTCTTCAACTTTCTTTTCAAATGTGGCTTTTCCAATTTTTTAATTGATGAGAATATTTACTGACACATCCTCACACAAATTTAGTCATATTTACCTTGCATTTAGCTTCTTTAGGAAGAAAATTGATCCGTTAACAATTTATTAATATAGGATTTTTTGTGAATATTCCAGTGACCTTGAAATGGTAGAGGCTGAGACACTCCTACAGAATATTGAACCTACGTTAATACGTTAATACACAAATGTTAATTTTTATTATAAATTTTATATTTATTTAAAAAATGAGAGCTTCATAATATACTGGTATTTGAATTTAAATGACTTAATCATGTCCAAATATCAGCAACAAATTGAAATTACTGATTTCTATGGAATTAGTCAAAGTTTTAAAGTTATTATATCTAAGAAATGACATGGTAATAATAATCAAATTAGTAATTTGCCCTTAAACTTGCATTTCTATATCAGACTCATTATAAGATTCAATATTTATCAAGGCAATAGAAAGGAATATCTAAATACAAAAACATTTTATTTAAATTATAAGATGCTTAACTCATAGTTGTTATTAGCAGAGATATTGGAGACATGCCGCCTGAGCTTAAATCTCAGGTCTGCTACTTACTAGTTCTGTGTCTCGAGCATATCTCATCTCCATGCTCAATTTCCTTTTCTTTAAAAATGAGAGTTATAATTACATACACCCAAGGGTTTATTATAAGAATTAAAGAAATTATATGTAAAACCATCAGAATAAATGTTTATTAATACACAGCCAGGAAATAGTAGACACTGTTCTCAAAGGTCTCTGTAGTGAAATGCTGCCAGTGTGTAGGAATATCAGAGAATAATGTAAAAGCAATGATGTATAAAGGTAAAACATTTCCCAAAGGAGTTACGTGTGTGATGCTGAAAGAGAGAAGAAGAGTTCTGCCAAACTGGAAAGATACCTCTCAGAAATGCTGTAGGGCATGATTCTACCTCAAAAGAGAGGTAAGACTAGTATATTAGTCAAGGTTCTCCAGAGAAATAGAAACAATAGACTAATAGGAGGGGTGTGTGTGTGTGTGTGTGTGTGTGTGTGTGTATGTGCGTGTCTTTGTGTGGATATTTGTGTGTGTGTGTGTGTGTGTGTCCTCTCTCTTTCTGTACATATTTTCTCTCCTTATGGAGAGAGAGATTTACTGTAAGGAATTGGCTTGTGCAATTATGGAGGCTGAGAAGTCCCAAGATCTACAGTCAGTAAGCAGGAGAGCAGATGCTATATTTCCAATCTCAGTCCTAGGGCCTGAGAAGCAGAAGGCTTACTGTATAAATTCCAATCTAACTTAGCATCTGAAGGCAGAAGAAGACCAGTGTTTCAGCTCAAAGTCAGGGAGAAAGGTAATTGTTTTTTTCTATTCAGTTTATATTCTATTCAGGCTTTCAATGGACTGGAAGAGACCACCCACATTAAGAGGAGCAACCTGTTTTACCTAATTCAAATGCTAATCTCATAGAGAAACACCCACACAGACACACCCAGAAATAATGTTGGACAATTGTCCAAGCATCCCTTGGTCCAGTCAAGTTGGCACATACAATTAACCATCATAACAAGTATGTCTCTAAAATTTCTCTTGACACTAAGATGTAATAAAACAATTTTTTAAAGAGGTGACTTTATCTGAGTTTATTTTAAATGAGTTTTAAAACTGTTTGCATTATTTTCACAGATAGAACTAATTTGATGCATTGATCTATGTGCATATTCCAGCCATATATTTTGAAATTTCAAGTTGTTCAGAATATATAGGCAATTTTCTACCTATTTTAAAATATTCTAGCATGACAGCAGTAACTATGACTATCATATTTAGAAATAAATGTTAATATGTTGGTTTACATTAAGAAAACTAGATATCTCTATACCTATTAAGAAGTATTCATAGTTTTTTATTATTTCTTTAATATTGGCTGAAGTCAAAGCTCTTTTGACGTATGCTAAATGTACACTTTTCCTGATTTACATTTACCAGTGTAAAATAAAACTTATATCCTTGTTTTCATGTGGCTATTCAGCCTAAGCATTCTGATTTGAGACAAGCACTGTGGTTAGTTTCTGGGTTATGTCGCTCCCATAACTGCAGGGAAATGAACTTGAAGTCGTGCCAGTATCTTACTGGTATAATTTTTAAAAGGCAACACTTTTGAGTAATAGGCACATGGCCATGAAACTAACCCTAATTAAAGCCTTGTCAGTAAGAACATCTCATGTCCTGATCTATAGAGTCAGAAAATACAAGATTTACAAACCTGAACTAAGTCAAGCAGGTGTTATATCCTGACTTAATATTGACCAAGATAGAGAAAAGTACTCATTTATTTTTTTGATTATGTGAGAAGGTCTATCTTATTAAAATAGTATATTTTCTATTATATAGTTTTGGAAAAGTAGATGATTATCCTGGGAGTCTTTTTTGTAAATTAAAGCTAAAAACTTGGAATATAGCTATAGACATTTTACCTATACGTAAAGAGGGAGGGGCAAAATAAAAAAAATCTTAAAATTAAAAGTGTAAAAATCTATATATTCTGTATATTTTAATATATAGAAATATATATTATGTGTATTTTAGTGTTTACTTTAAAACTAACATAATAATTGAGCTTTAATTTCAAAACAGTTAAGCTTCTTCATGTTATATATATGCATGTAAAAAGGCTACTACTATTACAAGATTCCTATAAGAAAGTGAAACACTTGTTAATTTAAGAAAATGTAGTACATAAACACCACAGAATACTGTGCAGCCATAAAAAGCAATGAGATCATGTCCTTTGCAGCAACGTGGATGGACCTGGAGGCTATAATCCTAAGCAAACTAATGCAGGGACAGAAAACCAGATACTGCATGTTCTTACTTATAGGTGAGACCTATGCGATGGGTACACATAGACATAAAGATGGGAACAACAGACACTGGCGACTACAAAGTTGGCGAAGGAAGGGGACAAGGGTTGAGGATCTAATTATTGGGTACTATACTCACTACCTGGGTGATAGGATAAATCGTACCCCAAACTTCAGCATCATGCAATATGCCCATGTAACAAACCTGCATGTGTACTCCTTGAAGCCAAAATGCAAGTTCTAATTATTAAATAAAATCATGAGTAAAAATGTCATCTCCAAAATTTATTTGATGCTATATTGTTGTACAATGATAGTTACTATAGTGTGCCACTCTTCCTGGGCATCATAAGTTATTATTACTAATGTGATACTTTTGGAAACTCAGATTCATGATTAACATAAGTAATATTTTCATATGTATAGGAATTATGTATGTAAGCACATGGAAAACCTTCTGAATACATCAAATGGCATATTTTTCCTCGGGTTTTGGATCTAGGATGTAAAATATAAAGAGAACACTAGGAAGGTTCGCACTACAACAGGAAACACTCAGCCATTATGACAGGAGAATTGTCTGTTTGGGCCTCTAAATTTATAGCACCTGACCCAATGCCTAACACAACTGACATATTTATTGTACCTTTGTTACCTGAATGAATTCAGTATAGTCTTTGGCATTTTCTTTTAGAATATGGTCTGGGAAAGAGAATAATAAATAATTCTTGGGATACAAGAGTATTATAATTATATTCATATTTTTTCTAATCCTACTTTCAGACTAAAAGAAGAAATAATCTCTGAGAAGCCAAAGATGCTACTGTGGTCCTTGTCAATAATCAATATGGGAGTAAACTCTACAGGTGGTTAAAATAATAAACAATGAGGAGTAGATGGATTATCTATTGACCAATCTGAACTAGAGTAGAATATACAGTTTGCATATCTATCAAATTTTGGTCCTAGTAGTCCCTAAGACTTTAGAATTTTAAATTCACAATATAAAATTGTAATTTTAAAATGTAATCCATTTTCAAAATGAAAACTATAAGTTGTTTGCTAAAATATTAGGTGCTTTTTAAAAAATGTATTTACAATTAATTTTATAATAAACTTATACAAACAACAAACTACTTGCAAATTATGATTAAATGAGAAATAAGCAATATATTTTTTTTCCTAATTTTTCAACTTTAAGCATATGTTTCTTTAAATATATTTTTTAAATTTTAAGATATATTTTACTGGAGATAATTGGTTAGATTTATAAATTGATTTAAAAAATTATTTATGAGAAAATAATTCTTGTTTTTCTAAAAAAGCATATAATTTTTAATAAAGCATATTTACATTTTAATTGCTTTTGACATTTTTTATGTCTATTAGCTTAACATTGTACTTCTGTAATTATTTTTGCCATATCGTTTGCCTGCTTGTTCCATATGAATGACAATAGTTTCTACTCTTTTGAGTGATTGGAAATTTTTGTCTTGTCAAGTTTATTATTCTTAGCTTTTATTATTTTTTTTCTGTATTTATGCTTAGAAGTGTTGTTCTCAACTTAGAAACTGCAAACTTTTTAACTTACTTCCCTCCTGTGCTTATATATTAGTGTTTTATATTAGTCTTTGTAATCTAAGTTTCTGTAATAAGTTTAGTGTAATAGGCTTGATTATTACATGTTCACTTTCCAAATATTTAGTCAATTTTACTATCACTTGCTAAATCATGCATCCATTTCTTGTTAATTTTTTTCTAAAATTATCAACCTTTAAAAAAGTATAATTTACCTATGAAAATGCATCTATTTGAGTGTAAAATTCTCTGCATTTTGTCTGATGTACATATGGTTGAGATCATTACCAGAATCAAGATAAGGAACATTCCTATCACCTTTAAAAGTTTCATGGGTACTCCAGGAATGAAAGTAGTCTTCAGTAGACATGTGGTCTACTTCTTGATGTCAAAATAATGCTTTAGGGGGTGGGGAGGGACGGTCACTCCATGTTTTTCTTTTTTTTTCCTGCTGTCTTTAGTGTATATATTTTTATTGAAGAGTAGTATTCCAATGCATTTATTTACCAAATTCTGTATATCCGTTAACTATTGATAAATATTTGACTATATTCAAGTTTCGATTGTTAAAAATAAATATACTCTGAACATTAGTTTAAATGTCTTTGTGTAGATATATATTTTAATTTTTAGTTAGTAAATGCTTAAGAGTGCAATAGATAGAATTTATTTCAGATGTTGTTTTACCATTTAAGAAATTGCCAAACTAGTTTCACGAAGTAGCTAGACCTTGTTATTTTTCCGCCGTCAGTCCATGAGAGTTCCCGATTCTCTATCTCTTCTCCAACAGTTGGTATTACCAGAGTTTTTATTTAGCCATTTCAATGTGAGTATAACGTCATGTCTAGTGATCTAGAATATGTTTCCACATGCTCATGAGCAATTTCATATTATTTTGTAAGGTATCTAGTCAAAATTATAGCCCCTTTTTAAATTGGGTTGTCTTACTGATTTAGAAAAGTTGTATGCAAAAAAGTAGACATATTCGGGAAAACAAAAATGAAAACCACAAAGCAATATCACTTCACACCCGATGAAATGGCTATTAGCAAAAAGATTGAAGATCACAAGTGTTGTCAAGGATGTGGAGCAAAGGCAACCCTTGCACACTGTGGGTGGGAAAGTGAATTAGTATAGCTATTGTGAAAAACAGTACAGAGATTCCTCAAAACAATAAAAGTAAAAACACTGTATTTTGGAATGCTTCATACTATACTGGGTGTAGTATCTACTACTGGGTATATTATCCAAATGCACTGCTGGGTGTATATCCGATGGAAAAGTACTCAGAGTGTCAAAGAGATATCTGCACTCCCATGTTGACTGCAGTATTATTCACGATAACCAAAATATGGAATCAACCTATGTTTCTTTCTATTGATGGATGAGTGGATAAGGAAAACGTAGTATGTATACACAATGGAATACTATTCAGCCACAAAAATGATGACATTTTGTGGTTTGCAACACGGTTAAAGCTATAGGAAGTTATGTAAAATAAATCAGGCACAGAAAGACAAATACCTCATTACCTCACTTATATGTAGAACTATAAAAAGTTGAACTCATGGACATGTAGAGAGTAGAATGGCTCCTGATAAGGAGCTAGGCAGTAGTGATGGTTCGTACGTTTGAGAAATGTTGGTCAAAAGATACACAATTTCAGTTAGACAGGAGGAGCATGTTGAAGAGATCTAATTTACAATATGATGACCCAGTTAATGATAATACATCATATTCTTAAGAAATACTTAGGGTAGGGCAGGTGAGGTGGCTCATGCCTGTAATCCCAGCACTCTGGGAGGCTGAGGTAGTCGGATCACTTGAGATCACGAGTTTCCAGAGGAGCCTGGTCAACATGGCGGAACCCCGTCTCTACTAAAAATACAAAAAAAAAAAAAGCCGGGTGTGGTGGCCAGCGCCTATAATCCCAGCTATTTGGGAGGTGGAGGCAGGAGAATCGCTTGAACCTGGAAGGCAGAGGTTGCAGTGAGCCGAGATCACGCCACTGCACTCCAGCTTGGATGACAGAGGAAAACTCCATCTCAAAAAATAAATAAATAAATAAACAAAAACGAAACAAACAAAAAAATGCTTAGGATAGATTTTAAGTGTCCTCACAACAAAAATTACGACGTTAAGAGGTAATGTATATGTTAATTAGCTCAATGTAGAAATTATTCAATGTATATATTTCAAAACCTCATATTGTACCTGATAAATATATACAATATTTGTCTGTTAAATAATAAAACATTCAAAAAACCTGATATACATCCTTTTGCAACAGATATATGTTAGAGATGGTTTCTACCTGTCTTTCCACTGCCTTTTACATTCTCATAAAAATATCTGAAAGTCGTGACTGACTTTGGAACCAAGAAATGAATGAAAAATCCTTAATTGCCTTTAACAGATTTTTATTAGAAATCTAGACTTTGAGGATATTACCAGTAAACATTGAAAAGGAAGTTAAGAATATGTTATTGAAAAATGGAAGAAGGGATCCCTTTTTTGTGGTAAAAGAAAATTTGCCAATACTACTTTGTTTGGTAACATGGAAAAACATACATATTTAATAAACTGCGTTATCTAGTTAAGGAGATTTCTTAGCTAAGTTTTGAAAGTGTCATTAGATTTCTTATTTCTGCTTGGAGTAAAATGTGAGAGGAAAGAAATCCATTGATGTAAGACTTTTTTTAAAAAAATGAACCTGGACTTGATGGTTTTGAAATTGTTGAGCCTCTCAAACAGGCAGGAGATGCTAACATTAACAAATTGCTTCTGAGCAAAGTTGAAATCCAGGATATGGTCAGGAGAAAGAGCTCCCTGAAGCTAAGACTGTTATTCTGTAACTCAACAATTTTGTTTATTTTTCAGAAACATCTAAGGTTTTACTTCCAAATAACATTGCTACAAAAAGAGACATTTGTAAAGAATAAGGATGTGCCTCAAAGATACTCTTAATTCAGTATTAGGACAACTGGTAATCTTAAGGCTGTTGTCCATCGGCCACCTCAGGAGCAGAATAAGGTAAAAGAAGGGCTTATCGCAAAGATGTTTGTGTGTGTGTCTTTTGCCTAATTGATTCAACTTCAGTAAGAGTCATACGTACCTTATAAAGTGTTTGAAAACGTTATATCAGTTACTAGATTCTTGGTTTAGCATGAAAGTGACAGAGGCAACGTGAAATTGAGAGACTATTGAGCTCTAGAAATTTTACTGGCAGAAATCAGCCTGAGAAAATGACTGAGTTCCTAACACATACTACATTTCATAGAAAGGAAGAATTATTCCAAAGGCAGAAAAAAGAGCCCAAACCATGGAGAACCATGACTAGCCCTTGAGATCTCATCAAGATATTTATAACACTTGGCTGAAAACAGTGCTATGGATCCTTTGTGCCTTCAGTTTTCCATCTTTTTGGAAAGAAATGCTTATATTGGTTGGCCTATGTCTGTTCTAACGTTGTATTTTGGTTGTGAGGAGGGGCAGATAATTTGCATTTTTGGTTTCATGATTTGCAAGTTAAGAGGACCTCTATCTGAGAAACTATGCATAGGAAACATGCCCAGGCTGGCATGTGTGGTGGCTCACGCCTATAATCCCATAATCCCAGCACTTTGGGTGGCCAAGACAGGTGGATCACCTGAGGTCAGGAGTTCAAGACCAGCCTGGCCAACATGATAAAACCCCTGTCTTTACTAAATATACAATAATTAGCTGGGTGTAATGGGGCATGCCTGTGATCCCAGCTAGTCGAGAGACTGAGGCAGGAGGATCTCTTGAACCTGGGAGGTGGAGGTTGCAGTGAGCTGAGATTGCACCACTGCCCTCCAGCCTGGGTAATAGAGCAAGACTCCAGCTCAAAAAAAAAAAAAAAGAAAAGAAAACGCCCAGGGAGACTCATCCACACCTTGGTTTGATTTAGATGCGAGGATCCTCAACTTTAAACTGATGGTGTAATTGGAAAAGATGGTTAGGGCTACAGGAAAGGAAGAAGCGTATTTTTCTGTGTGGGGATACATGAATCATGGCAGGCCAGAAGATAGACAATTATAGGCAACCTCTGAAAGAGCTCCCAGTGATCTCTGCCTGGTGTTACTCATGAATTTATATAAAACTTTCCCCTCAGTTGCAAGCTGGACCTAGTGACTCATTTATAATGAAAAATATAGCGTAAAATAATAAAAAGTCACTTCTGAGATTAGGCTACAAAAAAACTTTCCCTCTCTCTCTCTTTTTCTATCACTCCCTCTCTGTCTGTCTCTCTGAACCCTTAATTTGTGGGAAAAAGCTTCCATACTCTAGTTCTGTAAGAAACCTCTGTTTCAAGAAACTGATGTCTCTAGCTAGCAACCAAAAAGGACCTGAGACTTACCAAAAGCTAACAACTTAGAAGCATATTTTAACAATATTACCGTGGAAACATCATTGTCGCTTTACCATTTAATTGACTTTTACTTTTATGGTTACTATTTTCTTCTTTGTATTCTTTTTGTGTATGATTCCTTTGCTCTTTTTCTAATTTTCAAGGATACTGATTTGAGACCTTTCTTGTTCCAGTATAAGCATTTGAAACTAAAAATTTTCTTGTAAGCATCATTTTATCTTCTTTCCTCAAATGTTAAAATGATTTGTTTACATTACATTAGAAGTTAAAGTAAAAGATACTTTTCGGTTTTTTTGCTCAGCAAGCTTTACCTTGGTGAATAAACACTAGAAAAAATCGTCAGTCTAGAGTTATTGGGGGTAGTGTGCCAGAAATGACAGGAAGATCAATGTGGTTGAGAATGTTGTTAAGATTCTATAAGTATTCACTGATTTTGGTCTATTTTCTTTATGAAATGATGAAGAGAGGGGTGCTATCACTTATATCATGACTGTGGAATTCTGTTTCCCCAACTAAATCTGATTTTACTCCATGTATTTTGCAGCTGTGTTATTAAAAAGATAATCATTTGTAATTTTTATCTCTTTCTCAGGAACTGAACATGTTCCCATTATATATACTTCTTCTATTTCTCTGATACTTTTTCCCAAGATTATCTTATACTGTATTAATATTGCTATATTAAATTTTTTGTGTTCAATGCTTTATATCGCATTAGCATTTACTTTCAAACTATTGGGGTCTTCATTTTACAGTGCCTTCTTGTAAACAGCAGAGAGTTTGGTCATGCTTTATTTTTTATTTAAATAATTCTGCATGTTAATTAGAGCATTAAATTCATTAACATGTAATGTCTATATAGTTGGATTTTAATTTTATCATTTTTTATTGTGTTCTCTTTCTCTTGTCCTCTTTTGTCCCTTTTGTTGTTCATTTTTTTCTTGCCTTCTTTTATTAATAACTACTTTGATGTTTTCAGAATTTGCCCTTAATTCTGTTTTAGCTTTTGTTACATTGTGTTTTATTAGTTTTTTCATTTTTATTTTTAGTGGTGTACGAAGGACTAGAATATGTATTCTTGAATGTCTCAGTCTACTAATAGTAAATATAACCATACAACAATATAGGTTGGCATGTTTGCTTTATGATATCTTCCAACAAATCATTGGAGCCCTCTTTTTGATTTTTCAATTATTTCTATCTCTCTGTCTTTCTCTTAGTTCAGATGATATTTACAGCTATACATACCTTCATGTTCACTGATGCTTTCATTTTTATCTCAGAGGAACTGTGTTTCAGAATTTTTTTATTTAAAAATTTCCATTTTGGTCTATTTTATGGTTTCTATCATTTCTCTGCTAAGACATATATTTACAAGTATTATGAGAATAATATGCTTTAGCTGTTGAGCATAATTATAATAGCTATTTTAGCTTCTTTTTTGAAAATTCCAGCAAGTGGGTTATTTCATCTTTAGACTCTGCTTATGGTCATTTTTCTTTAAAATGAGACACATTTTCTTGTCTTTGCATGCCTTATTATTTTGTACTTTATCCTGTACATTGTGAACACTATGAAATGAGATTTACTCTCTTAGTTTCCTCTAATGAGTATTGTTTCCTTTCTGTAAGTCAATGTACCTGGATAGACCCAAATACAAACTTTATTTATAAAATAAATTTTATTGTGTATATTGAAGGTATACAACATGATGTTATAAGATACATATATATAGGAAGATGGTACTATAGCAAAACAAATCAACATATTCATCAACTCACATAGTTACCCATTTCTCCTCACACCACCACCCAACTCCCTGCCCTGTGGCAAGACACGCTATAATGTACTCATTTAGCAAAAATTCTGAATATAATACACTATTATTAGCATAGCCCTTAGGTTGTACATTGGATCTTTTGACTTGTTCATTCTACATATTTTCTACTTTGTATCATTTGACCTACATCTCCCTATTTCTTCACTTTCTTCTTGACCCAGCTAACCACTGTTTTATTCTTTATTTCAGGAGGACAATCAGTTCTGTTCTTTTTCTTTTTCTCTCTCTTTCCTAAGCTATCCTGTTTGCACCCTGCTGCACACATACATTATTTAGACATGAACCCAAGCCTTGCAGAGTTTATAAATAATACTGTGGCTCACCTTCTTGGGTACTCATCCTTTGGGATTTCTCCCTTACTTCCCAGGAGCTATTGCCAGTGCAGGATCTGTCAGTGTCAGGTCGGAAAAACAGCACATTTTCTATTGGTCTTTGGTCACATTAACTTTACTGTGAACATTACCTCAAAGACAGGAACATCATTCCATACTTGTCAGTTCCAAATTTTGGCTGTCCTCCAAAATCTGTCTTTGTTCATTCCCCTGATCTTTCAAATAGTTAGGCAGCTGCTTTAGTATTTGGTCAAGAGTTATATTTGTTATCTATGGAAAGAGCCATCTTCAGTAATTTTTTTCTCCCAACTCTTAGTATAAATACTAGTTTTAAAATTTATTGATTCTGCTTCTTAATGAAAAGAGTCTAATATGTATTATCTTAGCTTTCAAAGGTATACTCTTCAATTTATTCTTCTATTAATATTTATATAAACACTACACAGTTTACATTATGGAAAGCATAACACTGATTTAACATCTAGTAAGAGAATTTCCTTCGTCTTTCCCTTTTCTTCTCATTACCTGTAATGAGAAAGACTTTAGTTGCTCATCCAAATATTCTTTTTGACCTACCAGTCAATAACAAACCCCTGAGCAATGGAATGGTGTGTGTGTGTGTTGGGGTGTGTGTGTGTGTTTGTGTGTGTATTCTGACTCAAAATTTTCAACCTCATGCTCTGAAAATATAGATTTAATAGCTGAGATTTAGCACCTTGATTACATTATGAGGAACCATTCAGGAGAAAAGATCTAAGATGATGAAAAATTGCAGAAGGATTCTAAATCTTTAATGACCATGGAGCTAACAAATGAACATTAGAGTGCCTATTTTTGGAGTTAAAAAAAAACCTTTAATCAATATGTGTTTCTTTCATTTGATTAAAAATAACATGTTTAATGTGGTTAGAATCACAGTAAAACAATGATTTCTTGAGTTAATTTATTTTCAATATTTGTAAATATTGTTATGACTCATATCATAACCAGATATGAGTCTCTACTAACTCGAAGCTTCTTCCAAGTCTTGGGAACTGCTTTATTTTTCTCATATTGGCTCAGTATATTTTTTTGTGATATGTATTCCTATAAGTATTATATTTGCCATAAGTTTGTGGTTTTTTTTTTTAATGGAGGTAAGTTTTCTCCCATAGCATTTAAAACAAATGGAATCTTATCTCATATTATCCCATTAAGCCATTCAGGTTATATCCTGTAATTATCTATGAGGCTTTTGATCTAAATGCATGTATTTTGTGTATCTTATTTCATATATCTACCATAAGTGTACCTGTGAGGAAGAAAATATTTCAAAAACATATTAAACCTTCCCCCATTTAGGGCATGTCAGTGTGATAATACTTGTGTTTTTCATTGTAAATTATTTGTGGAGTAGCATAAATTGTAATTAAACGTAATCGTGAGCTAATTTTTTTTACCTATGTCACCCACCAAACAATGAAAAATTCAAAATATGAACCATGTATAACGAACCTTTGTATTCAAAAGCACCTAGTCTATTACTGTTTAATTATTCCTATGTTCATACAACATACAAGTAACCGTAAGGCAGCCTGGTAGCAAGCTATTAATATATCTCTTTAATATTTTCTCTTTCATTCATACTGGTTTATTTTAAGTGGTCACTCATTTATATGTCCTCATCTCTCTTTAAAAAACAGAAAGAATTGGCCCGGCGCAGTGGCTCACGCCCGTAATCCCAGCACTTTGGGAGGCCGAGGCGGGTGGATCACAAGGTCAGGAGATGGAGACCATCCTGACTAACACGGTGAAACTCCATCTCTACTAAAAAAATACAAAAAAAATTACCCGAGGGTGGTGACAGGTGCCTGTAGTCTCTGCTACTCGGGAGGCAGAGGCAGGAGAATGGCCTGAACCTGGGAGGCGGAGCTTGCAGTGAGCCGAGATCGCGCCACTGCACTCCAGCCTGGGCGACACAGCGAGACTCTGTCTCAAACAAAACAAAACAAAACAAAACAAACAAACAAAACAGAAAGAAATTTACTTGGTCTGGTGAATACTGATGATGTTCCCTTTTGACAATTTGAGTAGTTTCATGTTCATATTTTTTGCAGTTCCTTTTAAGTTTGGTCATATAAAATGCCTGAGTGTGACTTACATATTTGACAACAGAGCAAATGAAGAAATACATAAAAGTCAATTGAAGAAATAAATGTATTTCAGAGCTCTGATGCTGTATAATTTTATATGAAAAGATGTCTGGATACTTAAAGGGAATTGTTGCATATAAAACAAAATTCTTTATTTTCTTATAATGTAATCTTTACTTACCCTTGACTTAAATTAGTGTCCTTATTTTCAATATGTATGTGTCATAGATTTGCATGTTCTGTATCTCTACGAGAGCTATAAACAGGGGGATTATTTGCCAGAATTTTGCATTTACTTAAGTAACAATATCATTTTTAAATGTATGTCAGAAATGGAGAAGTCTACAAAGTTTATTCTATAGAAAGATGTCTATGGTTGCAAAAGGAAGGAAATGATTTAATATAAATCAATATATAAAACAGTCTCCAAAGAAGCCAGCATAATTAATAATATAATACTATCAGTAGTTATAATATTTGTAATAACCAATATTATAATTGGTTGTAATTATACTACAGTCTAATTTCTTAAATTTCAAATTTAAGAAAAAGCAAGTTAAAAAGAATGTTTTTGTAGACCCCAAATTTTTATTTAGTTTAGAACTTCATCTTCAGGATAAATATGTATCTCTATAATAATACATAAATACATAATAAATGTGTTATATATACAATATAGTAATATAGAAACATATTTACAATTACATTTTTCAAGGTATTCCTTATAATGAAACTGTGAGATGGACTAATTTTACCGAAGTGCACAGCCAATCATTTACATTTTTTAACATCTCAATCTTAAAAATATATAGCAAATTTGTTTTAAATATTAGATAACTTCAATGAATAAAAATGGCAATAAGAGGTTAAAGAATAAAAGTAAGCTAAAAATACAGTTAAGATTATATATTTATAATTTTTATTTTGGTTGAGGCGCTCAGTTTATAATGGATGGGTTTCTGCCATTATTAAATTTGATCTCAAAAAAAATTTACTCACAAGGTGTGCCTAATATATTTTTAATTATTTGCAAGATGAAGGAGTTGAAAGATTTTACAAAAATTTCAAGTTAAACTTTACAGCAGAGAAAACATTTACATTAATGCATCTGTGTGCACTCTTGACACTTGCAAACATCCCAAGATGACTTCAATACTGCATGAAATTTGCACACTGCTATAAGCAGTATAAAATAATGCCTAAAGGAATAGATTATTAGCTGGTGAAATAGGTCAAGTCATTACTCATATTTAGTTAAATATGAATAGTTCAATGAAAAATAGTCCAATAATTTTATTCAAGATAAGGTGAACCTTTTGCCCTTTAAACTTTTTTGTTAGAAGCTAAGACATATGCAACCCACAATAGCCTAGGCCTACACAGGGTCAGAATCATCAATATCACTGTCTCCCATCACCACATCTTGTCTTGTTTCACTGGATGGTCTTCAGGGGAATAAAATGCATGGTGCTGGGAAGTCCAATACCAAGGTGCAAGCATCTTGAAGGTCTTCTTACTATGTCATTAGATGGTAGAACACTTTCTGAAGGTATTCTAGAAGTGTGTGTGTGTGTGTGTGTGTGTGTGTGTGTGTAAAAGGAGAACACTCTAAAGTAACAATAAAAACTATAGTATAGTAAATGCATAAACCAGTATGCATTTACTATACCTCCTAAAGATATTCTATAAGTATGTTTGTGTATATATATACATACATACATAAAAATTATAGTATAGTACATGCATAAACCAGTAACATAGTCATTTATCATATTTAAGAATTATGTACTGTACATAATTGCATGTGTATAATTTTGTATGAGTGGCAGCACAGTATGTTGACACCGGCATCACCACAAATACAAATTAATAAGTATGCGATGACATTATGATGGCTATGATATCAATAGGTGATAAAAAATCTTTCAGCTTCATTATAATTTTATAGAATCATCATCATATATGCAATTTGCCATTGACCAAAACGTCATTATGTAGTACATGACTGTAATTTTAAGTATTAGATTGATTACAAGAAAAATGCTGTAGATATATGTGAAGTAGTATGTTTAGTGCACTTTGTGTTTGCTATATATATATTTATATATATATACAATATATAATATATATTGTATATATTACTACAGACTGTGTAATTTATAATGCACAAAAATTTATTGGCTCACATTTCTGGAGGCCAGGAAGTCCAATATCAATGTGCCAGCATCTTGCAAGGTCTTCTTTCTATGTCATTATATGGTAGAATGTTGAAGGTCAACAAGAGAAAACCCATGCCAGGAATACTTGTTTTTAAAGATGTTAAAGTTACACGTGAGCACAAAGCCCTCATGGCCTAATAATCTCTTAAAGGCTCCACCTCCCAATACAATTACATTGGCAATGATATTTCAACAAAAGTTTTGGAAAGGAAAAGCATTCAAATGATAGCAGAGAGGATATGAACTTTAAACAGACAAATATGAATATAAGATGCTAAGATTTAGGTTTTTTTTCCTTAACCAAAAGAGATTTCAGAGCCAGTTTCGAATATAACTGGTTTCTTTCTATTACTAAATTTATGCACACACACACACACACACAAACTACATGAGATGTGTACATTTTATACAAATATATATAATACTTTTCAACAATAAATTTATTATAATTCATACGATAAATTAAAAATCATTCCTGCTTGTATGCTTGTCAATATAAATGAATGTAAAGAAGGGGATAGGCATAGTTTTAGGCATATACATAATCAGTGACTTTCTAATACTTATGGCATTTGGTTGAGAGAATAGGAAATTGCACAGTACTAAAATTAAACCCATCAAATTCATCTCAAATTTCTTTCATAATCAGTTATTCAACTGAAAATATCACTCATTTCCGAATTTTCCACATCTTTTGTGTTACAGATTGTTCATGATTTGTGGTATCTCATAAGATTATGAATAACATGATGCCATGCCATATGTATAATTTTAAAAGAAGGAGAAATAAGAAAAACAAAGGAACATTGTATTTTAAATAAAAATTTAAAAAACTACTGATTCATTGCTACTTTATTTTAAAAGCCCATTATTTTATGTGACTTTCTATATGAATTATTATCACTGAGAATTTTCAAGAATATTCCAAATTCTATTTTCCATTCCCCACATGCATTGTATATTATTTTAGTGAGCTTAACACAGCTAACCTCTGATGTGGTGGCTGTACATATGATCTTACATTTTTCAAAAGGGTGAGAGATAATTTTTTAATTATTAGAGTAATGAAACCAGATGACACACACACACATAAATATTCCCTGTGGCTCCTTTAAAATTTAAGTTAATTGCTTCTTTTTAATTAAGGATTTAATCTTTTTTATTTATTTTTCATTTTTTTGGAGAAACGGTTTTTCTCTGTTGCCCAGGCTGGAGTGCAGTGGTGCCATCTCATTTCACTGCACCTTTGGCCTCCTGAGCTCAAGAGATCCTTTCACCTTGGCCTCCCAAGTAGCTGGGACTACAGATGCACTCCACCATGCCCAGCTATTTTTATTTTTATTTATTTTCTATTTTATGTGGACACAGGGTCTCACTCTGTTGCTCAGGCTGGTCTCAAACTCCTAGGCTCAAGCCATCTGTCCACCTAGGCCTCCAAAAGTGCTAGAATTACAGGCATAAGCTACCAGGCCTGGCTGGATTAATCTTTTTAGATGAGATCTATGTGAGTTATATTGATATATTTGATTAGATATCAAATCTTGCTATTTGTGGTTTTAAGCTGGCAAAATAGAACAATTGAACAATAGAATATCACTCTCTTGTTATTCAATAAACTGATTAACATGGAAAAACACATTGCTTAGTGAATGACTAAATATTTAAGAAACCTTCATGTGCAAGTAGCAAAAATTCCAACAAACTTATCCAAAATGTTTTTACTTTGCTCACATGACAAGATGCTAGTAGATAATAGCTAGTTTTATTCTAGAAGATCAGGAAGGGGATGATCAGTGGAATATGCCTCTGTGTGTAGCTTGGCTTTTCCCTTAAGGTCACAAAAGAACTGCGTGTCTACAACAACCTTTAATAGTACATGTTTATTCCATATTTAGCACAGAGAATGAAGTCTTAGAAAGAGTAGAAGTACTCTGGCATTTTGTGTTCTTTTCAGGAAGAGTTTTCTCAAGAGCTCTTGACAGATACCTACTTAACATTTTACTCACAAACCTGCATCAAAGACAAATTCCTGTTGCAGGCATTGGACTTCCTGAGACTAAAGTATTTCTTCTCAATACCTCAATAAAATCTCATCCCTATTAGCATCAATAAAAGAGAGCAACCATTCTGGGACTGGACATAGAAAGTGATGTCCTAATATAGTGGGTATGATACGTGTCTGTGTGCTCACAAATGCATTTATAGACAGAACATTAGAAACTTATGTATCTTCAGTGATGTTTGTGCTACTAGGTAAGCCTAGACAAGAAAGGCTCGATCCGTTTAATAGAAGAAAAACGAGTGAAAATATTAATGAACACTTTTATTAACATTCAAGAACACTGCCCACCAAATGGCAGACTTTCAACTCCTCTCACGGCTATGGATGTTTATTATAATTATAACTATTAACTTCCACAATCATGTAGAGATAGCTATAGGAAAAAAAATACAAGATGATAATATTTTAAAATCACAAATAATTATACCATTGTTTTTTTCATAACTATGTTCGATTTCTTTGCTAAATTTGACTACATAACTGAGCTGTTAACCAATTTTATTTACCAAGTAAATAAATTTCACTAGCACCTACTCCTTTTAATATATTATCTAATCTTATTTTACACTGTTAATCGACATTCTGTCAATATCTAATCACACATTCATATTTTAGGCTCATTTTTTGACTCAGATCATAGGTCATTTTTTGAGATGGAGTCTCACTCTCTCGCCCAGGCTGGAGTGCAATGGCATGATCTCAGCTCACTGCAGCCTTTGCCTCCCAGGTTCAAGCAATTATCTGCCTCAGCCTCCCGAGCAGCTGGGATTACAGGCATGCACCATGACACCTGGGTAGTGTTTGTATTTTTAGTAGAGATGGGGTTTCATCATGTTGACCAGGCTGGTCTCAAACTTCTGGCCTCAAGTGATCTGCCCGCCTCGGCCTCCCTAAGTGTTGGAACTATAGGCATGAGCCACTGCGCCCGGACCATGGGTCTTTCCTCAGAGAGATTTGGCCTTGCATAAACAGGAATTTATTTTCTTTATAGTCAAAATTCTGTTTCTTTTACCCTGAGCCAGCTTCACTTTCTTATGCCAAGTGTGTCTGTTTAGGAAAAGGCACTGTCGTCTTAATGAAAGAGTAAGAATGGAGTGAGAAAAACAATATGAAGACTAATGCTGAGAAAGTCAAAATCCTCCAAAATAATAAAATCAAAAAAAGAACCAAAACCATCTTAGCTTCAAAAGTGCTAATATCCTACTAATGATAAAACAAAGATGAATATGTTCTAGTATTTAAAATGCTTACATCTTCCAACACAATATTAAAATTCTTAGTCTTGTTTTCAATGATAATTGAAGAAAGTAACAGAAAAATAAAAAGGCATATTACTTTCCATATGGCAGATCTATTGCATTTTTGTTTCAGTCTGTTCCAAATCACTCAGGCAACATTGCTTTCAATTATATGCTAAATTTTGATTGCTTTTTGTTCCTTAAGTTATCAATAGAAAGCAAGAATCATGTTCTAACAGAATTCAGTCAAAAAAGAGACTGGCGTGAATGTATGGCTGGTGTGAGAATAAGAGAGTGAAAAAAAGAGTGAAGAAAAAAATAACACATAAATCTGTCATCTATTACTCTGACAACTGAATTTTAAAGACCTTTATTATGATATAAATGACACATAATCTAATGCCATTCATCTAAGAAACTGATATTCAATAAACAAGTGGAAGGTTTTGCATAGCATGCATCATTTATAAAAATGACCCTGCCCCTCACAGGCCAAAAAGCTGACTTTCAAGATTCTGAAAATTTCTCTACCACGTTCAATTCTAAAGCAAATCAAATTTAATTGTTGTAGAATCTTTCCCCCTCTTCCTCATTGGAATATTGAAAAAAGTTAGTGGGAAAAAATGAGTACAATTGGGTAACGAAAAACAAAGAATTTCTTTATAATGATGGGTAGAATCTAAATTAAGCATATCCTCTCATGAATATCCTTAGATTCACCAATTTATTAGAAGAAAAGGCATTCAAGGCATTTTATAGAACCTAAGAAGCGAGATCAAAGCTCAGTTACTCTCAAGAAGGATACTCACCTAATGAGTTTTGCTCTCTTCTTCACCAAGAATATCAATAAAAATTTTATGTCTAAAAGATAAAATATATCAAAGAATAGCTCTAAAGGGAATCTAACTGACTTAGAAAAGTTGGGGATTTGAAAAACTGTCCCATAATATCAAAGCAAATTTGAGTTCTGCAAAAAGCTTTGTACACATAGTATTAAAAACAAATAAAGTGTTAACTATATGCAAATGTATTATGAGAAAAAAGGTGGTGATTAAGGGAGAGAAAAGAGGAAGAAAGAGAATTATCCAGTTATGGAATCCAAGAACACAATAAAAAAATCAGAAAATTCATATAAATTTTTTAAATTATAGGAAAGTTGGTAACAATGTATAATAAAAAATATAAGGTCAAAATTGAGAAATAAAACAAACGTAGGAGGTAAAAGGAGATATTCACATAAAATGACATATACTTATGCACAAAGAGTTCTGATAGGATTAATAACAGATACATTTACAATATAAAAATCAAAATGAATTTGTCAGTAATTGGAAAGAGAGGTTGATGAGTTAATAACCTTGTCTTTCAAAGTAGGGAGGCAAATGATATTCTATAGTTGTAATATTGATTTAAAATAATCTCAGTGCCTCTTGTGCTATGTAGTCACGCTATTAGTCTTAGAAGAATCTTTAAATGTCTTCATTTGTTACAAAATTTTGGAAATTTTTTTTGAATTATCCTTTAGAGTTTTATTTATTTGACATTTCTTTCTTAACTAAATAAACAAAATATTTTAGATAGAAAAAATGTAAATATTTTAAATTAAATTACTTTAATTGAAAAATAAATATTTTACAAAGAAAATGAAGCAAATGCCTTTGGTTTTGTTTATATGCTGGATTACGTTTAGTGATTTGCATATGTTGAACCAGCCTTGCATACCAGGGATGAAGCCCACTTGATCATGGTGGATAAGCTTTTTGATGTGCTGCTGGATTCGGTTTGCCAGTATTTTATTGAGGATTTTTGCATCAATGTTCATCAGGGATATTGGTCTAAAATTCTCCTTTTTTTGATATGTCTCTGCCAAAGACAAAAAACAAATGATTATCTCAATAGATGCAGAAAAGGCCTTTGACAAAATTCAACAGCCCTTCATGCTAAAAACTCTCAATAAATTAGGTATTGATGGGATGTATCTCAAAATAATAAGAGCTGTTTATGACAAACCCACAGCCAATATCATACTGAATGGGCAAAAACTGGAAGCATTCCCTTTGAAAACTGGCACAAGACAGGGATGCCCTCTCTCACCACTCTTATTCAACATGGTGTTGGAAGTTCTGGCCAGGGCAATCAGGCAGGAGAAAGAAATAAAGGGTATTCAATTAGGAAAAGAGGAAGTCAAATTGTCCCTATTTGCAGATGACATGATTGTATATCTAGAAAACCCCATTGTCTCAGCCCAAAATTTCCTTAAGCTGATAAGCAACTTCAGCAAAGTCTCAGGATACAAAATCAATGTGCAAAAATCACAAGCATTCTTATACACCAATAACAGACAAACAGAGAGCCAAATTGTGAGTGAACTCCCATTTACAATTGCTTCAAAGAGAACAAAACACGTAGGAATCCAACTTACTAGGGATGTGAAGGACCCCTTCAAGGAGAACTACAAACCACTGCTCAACGAAATAAAAGAGGATACAAACAAATGGAAGAACATTCCATGCTCATGGATAGGAAGAATCAATATCATGAAAATGACCATACTGCCCAAGGTAATTTATAGATTCAATATTATTCCCATCAAGCTACCAATGACTTTCTTCACAGAATTGGAAAAAACTACTTTAAAGTTCATATGGAACCAAAAAGGAGCCCACATTGCCAAGTCAATCCTAAGCCAAAAGAACAAAGCTGGAGGCATCAAGCTACCTGACTTCAAACTATCCTACAAGGCTACAGTAAACAAAACAGCATGGTACTGGTACCAAAACAGAGATACAGACCAATGGAACAGAACGGAGCCCTCAGAAATAATACTACATGTCTACAACTATCTGATCTTTGACAAACCTGACAAAAACAAGCAATGGGGAAAGGATTCCCTATTTAACAAGTGGTACTGGGAAAACTGGCTAGCCATATGTAGAAAGCTGAAACTGGATCCCTTCATTACACCTTATAAAAAATTTAATTCAAAATGGATTAAAGACTTAAATGTTAGACCTAAAACCATAAAAACCCCAGAAAAAACCTAGGCAATACCATTCAGGACATAGGCATGGGACAGGACTTCGTGTCTAAAACACCAAAAGCAATGGCAACAAAAGACAAAAATGACAAATGGGATCTAATTAAACTGAAGAGCTTCTGCACAGCAAAAGAAACTACCATCAGAGTGAACAGGCAACCTACAAAATGGGAGAAAATTTTTGCAATCTACTCATCTGACAAAGGGCTAATATCCAGAATCTACAATGAACTCAAACAAATTTACAAGAAAAAAACAAACAACTCCATCAAAAAGTGGGCAAAGGATAAGAACAGACACTTCTCAAAAGACATTTATGCAGCCCACAAACATATGAAAAATGCTCATCATCAATGGCCATCAGAGAAATGCATATCAAAACCACAGTGGGATACCATCTCACACCAGTTAGAATGGTGATCATTAAAAAGTCAGGAAATGGCCAGGCGTGGTGGCTCATGCCTGTAATCCCAGCACTTTGGGAGGCCAAGGCACGCGGATCACAAGGTCAGGAGATGGAGATCATCCTGACTAACACAGTGAAACTCTGTCTCTACTAAAAATATAAAAAATAAGCTGGGCGTGGTGGTGGGCACCTGTGGTCCCAGCTACTGGGGAGGCTGAGGCAGGAGAATGGGGTGAACCAGGGAGGCAGAGCTTGCAGTGAGCTGAGATGGCACCACTGCACTCCAGCCTGGGCGACAGTGCGAGACTCCGTGTCAAAAAAAAAAAAAGTCAGGAAACAACAGGTGCTGGAGAGGATTTGGAGAAATAGGAACACTCTTACACTGTTGGTGGGACTCTAAACTGGTTCAACCATTGTGGAAGACAGTGTGGCAATTCCTCAAGGATCTAGAACTAGAAATACCATTTGACCCAGCCATCCCATTACTGGGTATATAACCAAGGGATTATAAATCATGGTGCTATAAAGACACACGCACACGTATGTTTATTGCGGCACTACTCACAATAGCAAAGACTTGGAACCAACCCAAATGTCCAAAAATGATAGACTGGATAAGAAAATGTGGCAAATATACACCATGGAATACTATGCAGCCATAAAAAAGGATGAGTTCATGTCCTTTGTAAGGATATGGATGAAGCTGGAAACCATCACTCTGAGCAAACTATTGCAAGGACAAAAAACCAAAGACCGCATATTCTCACTCATAGGTGCGAACTGAACAATGAGAACACTTGGACATAGGAAGGAGAACATCACACACACTGGGGCCCATTGTGGGGTGGGGGAGCGGGGAAGGATAGCATTAGGAGATATACCTAATGTAAATGATGAGTTAATGGTTGCAGCACACCAACATGGCACATGTATACATATGTAACAAACCTGCACATTGTACACATGTACCCTGGAACTTAAAGTATAATAAAATAAAAAATAAATTATAAAAAAAAGAAAATTAAGCAAATGCATGTAATTGACAGAGAAATATGATGTGTTTATCACATCTATTTTCACTATTCTCCCTCGTCTGTCATATAGAAGTTATTTATAATTTTATTTATAAAAATATAAAAATATAGACTACTTGTTATCACTTTATTTTGTCATTAACTGAATAAGTAGCTTGAATATTAAATATTAAATATATCTTCTATAACTACATGTAATACAATAAGTGAAACTGTCTGTGTCCCTATTGTATTTTCCAAAGAGAATCACAATTACTATTTTACTTTAATTTTATTGTATTTTCTGTGATATGCTATTAAATCTATTTGCTACTTAGCATTGTGGCATACTATTGTATTAGTCAGGGTTCACTAGAAGAGCAGAAATAATATGATCTTTATATGTATATATTATTTTACTAATCATAGAAGTGTTATATACTAAGCACTGAGTGTACAAACATGAGTAAAATAAGATTAGCAATGTATTCACTTGTTTGATCATAATACTTCATATACATATGAAGTACATATATATATATATATATGAAGGGGAGTTTATTAAGGGATATTGACTCACACAATCACAAGGTGAGGTCTCACAAATGGCCATCTGCAAGCTGAGGATCAAGGAAACCAGTCCAAGTCCCAAAGCTGAAGAACTTGGAGTCTGATGTTCGAGGGCAGGAAGCATCCAACACTGGAGTAAGATGTAGGGCAGAAGACTAAACCAGTTTAGTCTTTTCATGTTCTTCTGCCTGGTTTTATTCAGGCTGTGCTGGCAGCTGATTAGATTGCGCCCACCCAGATTGAGGGTGGGTCTGCCCTTCCCAATCCACTGACTCAAATGCTAATCTCCTTTGGCAATACCCTCACAGGCACACCCAGGAATAGTACTTTGCATCCATCAATCCAATCAAGTTGACACTCAATGTTAACCAACAACTGGTCAATTTTTTAAAGTATTTCATATTTTCATATGCTTAGACCTTGTAAGTATAAGATTTAGAACATGTATTTTTTAGTTTATCAAGAAATACTTGGAAGCCATTATATATTATAATATTATATATTAAGCACTGAGAATACAAAGATGAGTAAGCATAACTCATGGACCTTAAGTTGGAAAAGTCTAACCCGTGACTTTGGCAATACAGTGAGATAGCTAAGGATATAGGCAATATGGTCTTTGGAAAGAGGATGTAGTGGTTAATTTGCTGAATATACTTAAAGACATCTTGGCTCATAGGTAGCTTTATTTTGCTCTGTAATTGGAAAGGGAGAAAAAAAAAGAAGGTCCAGATAGTAGATATGGAAAGCTTGACTCGCACAGCTATATCGTGGAAATGCATGCAGTTAAGAATTAATAGAAGTGAATGCCAGAATGACGACAGTTGGGCAAGACCAGATGATAAAGATCTGGTATAATGTGACGATAAAGAGTACAGTGTTTATTGATTAGGCTCTGAAGAGCAAAACTTGTATTTAACCAAGGTAATGGCATGGGGAAAATTGTGTTTTATTAAACTCTATGGAGGATGGCTTCAAGAAGAAAGAAAATGGAGATAAATATGGGAGGCTACTCTAATAAACCTAAGTGAGTTACAATAAGTTTCTGAATTAAATTTATCATGAAGAAGGAAATAATTCAGAACCTCACAAGATTCAAGAATAAAAAAACTAAAGATGATTACTTGGTTTCTATTTTGTGCAGATGTGTCAAAACAGTAAGTAAACACAGGAAGTTGCACAACTTATTGGTGGAAATACTATTAAATATCAAATTTAGAGTTTGAAAAAGCAATGAGACCAAAGATGTTTCATGAAAATGGTTGACTTAAGATTGGTCATTACAAAAATGAAATCTGAATCCCTGAGAAGACATAAACTAAGAAATTACTACCAAATAAGTAGTAATCTAGAAAAAAAGTATTGTGAGAAAACAGGTAACTAAGAATTAGTCATTTGCACTATTAAATTTTATGGAACAACAGAAAAAGAAGCGTGGCCATTGGAAAAGTTTGCGTGGGATTGACCATCAATACAGAGGAAACAGCTGAGGATGATCTTAAAGTAAAGGAAAGAAATGACAGTAGAGAAAAAATTTCAACAGTGTTAAATATGCAGTCCAGTTTAAGTAAAATAAGATTAGTAATATTGTATTCACTTGTTTGATCATAATACTTCATTAGAGACCTTTCGTACAGTAACTGTTTTGGGTTTAGGGGCAGATGGAATATTGCTATGAGTCGAGAAGTGAATATTGCATTAGAGTGCAGACATAGCAAGTATAGAATATTTAAGAAAATTCCTCTGAAGAAATATTGAAAGAGAGTTTGGTGGCTAAAGGATGATATGGTTATTGTCTGTGTGTATGTAAAGGGAATTAATTGTTTTTGTTTAAAAAATAAGTAAATTTTAACTTATAAGCAGAAATAGGAAAGGTATCTAAAATTATGCTAATATTATTAAAAGCAAATTAGTATAAAAAGTAAAATAAAAGTATCTAAAAGTACCTTGCTAAAGTAAGTAAAAATATTCACAACTTTTTATTTTACAGTTTAAAGAGAATTAGACAATTTTATGTCATACAATGCATCTTCAGCTTTTAAGTACATGAAGTGATGGCAATATAACTCACTTGATGAATTCAGTAAGTACTTTCTTTTGGTATCTTGAGAGAGTATACAGAAGATCAATCTTATTGAGTCTTTAACTGTGGCAAGATACAAAAGTGTTTTCCTCTTGAAATGTAAGTTGCTGCTGAATTTGCTTTGTTGAGTTCTTAATGAGGTGGACTACCTTAGTGAGCACTTAAATACCATATGGTTTCATAACGTTGACAAGTACAATGGCTTGACGATTTTAATCCCTGTTTGTCAAAGGAATCATGATATTATATAAAGTGAATGAATTAGGCTTTTTTATATTCATTGAATGTTTAGGAAAGTTCATTTAAAGGAAAATAAACTCTGATTTACAGTTTAATCCACAGCATAACAAAATACCGAGTCATGGATAGTTGCTTTACTGGTTATCTGAGTATAAAATTGTAAAGAACTGTACCCTGAGGAATTACAAGTAAGATTCCTTCTTTTATTTTAATTGTATAGGTAAGTGTTATGACTTTAAAGTTAAGGAGACTTTTATGTTTTTTATGATATATTGTGTATATATTGGATAATTCATTTATTTTATTCATGAAACTTTGTGTAATTATTAGTTTCAACTTCCAGCTAAGTCATAAACTCCAGTATTACCACCTGCAGCCTGATGTCTAAACATCAATTGAGAGATTCTCTCCAGCCCCCTTCAAAAAAAGGTGTTTATCATATATTGTTAACTAACACTTGTGCTATGAAGTTGCAGGGCTTTGACTCCTAGGTACACATACCTCATCTAAAAAGGAACACTGATCTCTACTGAATGTTAAATTTCAACACTGGCATCCGGCACCAAATTCAAGTTCACCAAAACCCTATCTTCAGACCTGGGAGATGACAGTAAAAGTAAACTGCTTTCGTAGGACACTGGGCCAGGCATGTATATGAAGGCATACTCATTTAATACGCCAGGCACGGTGCCTCACACCTATAATCCAAGTACTTTAGGAGGCTGAGGCAGGAGAATTACTTGAGGCCAGGAGTTTGAGACCAGCCTGGGCAACATAATGAGACCACGCCTCTACAAAAATTTTTTCTTTAAAATTAGCCAGGCGTGGTTGTATGTGCCTGTAGCTCCAGCTACTTGAGGGGCTGAGCTGGGAGCCTGACTGGAGCACAGAAATTTGAGGCTACAGTGAGCCATCATCATGCCATGGCACTCCAGCCTATGCAAAAAAGCAAGACCCTGTATGAAAACAAAACTCATTTAATACATTTTCCTCTATATAAAATAATATAATTTGTTCTATGCCTTAATACTGAATAATTTAAATGTTTAGCTACCCATGACTCTCCTTGTTTTTTCATTATCAGACCTAGGCAGGGTTTATGTCCTTTTTGTTTAAAACATTGGTAAGTCTATCTGTAGCTTACAAAATTGGGTAAAACAACAAGATTACCTTTCTCTCTCTACCTGATATCTTCAAAATTTAAAAACCATTTCGAATCCCACTGGGCCTGGACTATTCTCATTGCTAACGCCCTGCTGCTAAAACTATATAGGCAACTTTTCAGACTCAATTGCAAAAGAGGTGGGCATGTGAGATTTTAAGGGTCGGTTTTGAGAGATAAAATTAATTTAGATCCTCTAAATCAAGGAGGCACACAAATGCCTACACATAGAAACAAAATAAAGGGCTTTGCCTCCTGAGTCCTTACTTGGCTGCTAATACCCACCCACATGATACATACCATTTGGTATATGCGAAAGGGCCATTTTTGTTGGGAGGGACAACAAAATAACACTGTAGAATTACATGACTTATCCTGTAACAAAATCTCTTTTTTTAAAACTTTTCTTTTAAGTTTAGGGCTACAAGTGCAGGTTTGTTATATAGGTAAACTTGTGTCATGGGGTTTGTTCTACAGATTATTTCATCACTCAGGTGTTAAACCTAGTCCTAATAATGGCTTAATTAGTTATTTTTCCTGATCTGCCCTCTCCTCCCACCCTCCACCGTCCAAAAGGTTCCAGTGTGTGTTGTTCCCCTCATTGTGTTCATGTGTTCTCGTCATTTAGTTCCCACTTATAAATGAGAAGATGCTGTTTGGTTTTCTGTTCCCGCATTAGTTTGCTGAGAATAATGGCTTCCAGCTCTATCCATGTCCCTGCAAAGGACATGCTCTCTTTCTTTTTCATGGCTGCCGAGTATTCCACTGTGTATGTATATCACATTTTCTTTATCCAGTCTGTCATTTTCTTATCCAGTCTGTCATTGTGTATACGTACCACATTTTCCTTATCCAGGCTATCACTGACCTATCATTTAGGTTGATTCCATATCTTTGCTATTGTGAATAGTGCTGCAATAAATATACACATGTGTGTGTCTTCATAAGAGAATGATTTATATTCTTTTCTTTACATACCCAGTAATGGGATTGCTGGGTCAAGTGGTATTTGAGGTTTGGGTCAAAAGTCTTCAGCTCTTTGAGGAGCTGCCACACTATCTTCCACAATGGTTGAACTAATTTACACTCCCACCAACACTGTATTAGCATTCCTTTTTCTCTTCAACCTCACCAGAGTCTGTGATTTTTTGACATTTTAATAATATCCGTTCTGATTGGTGTGAGATGGTATCTCATTGTGGTTGTGATTTGCATTTCTCTAATGATTGGTGATGTTAAGCTTTTTTCATATGACTGTTGGTCACATGTATGTCTTCTTTTGAAAAGTGTCTGTTTATGTCCTTTGCCCACTTTTTTATGGGGTTGTTTGTTTTTTTTTTCTTGTAATTGTTTAATTTCCTTATAGATACTGGATATCAGACCTTTGTCGAATGCAAAGTCTACAAGAAATTCTCCCATTCTGTAGGTTGTCTATTTCCTCTGTTGATTGTTTCTTTTGCTGTGCAGAAGATCATTAGTTTAATCAAATCCCATTTATCAATTTTTGCTTTTGTTGCAATTGCTTTTGGCATATTTGTCATAAAATCTTCACACATGCTGTGTCCTAAATGGTGTTGCCTAGGTTGTCTTCCAGGGTTTTTATACTTTTGGGTTTTACATTTAAGTCTTTAATCCATCTTGAGTTAACTTTTGTATATGGTGTAAGGAAAATACCCAGTTTGAATCTTCTGCATTTGGTTAGCCAGGTATCTCAGCACCATTTATTGAATAGGGGATCTTTTCCTCATTCCCTGTTTTTCGCCAGGAAAATAACCTCTTTTTCTCCTCCAAATACCACTGTATGGTGTAACAGAAAAGTGGTGGGGAAAATAGATTTGACTATCGTAAACAAGTTCTATGACAATTTAGGTACTGAGCATCAAGTAGCTCTCAAAATTGATTTATACGCTCCTCAGGATGTCACACCTATAGACACCAATTGACCAGAAGAGAAATTAAATTTGATGGAGTCTGATTTAATGTTGGTGCTTGATATGGTTTGGCTGTGTCCTCACCCAAATCTCTTCTTCAATTGTAGTTCCCATAATCCCCACGTGTTGTCCGAGGGACCCAGCGGGAGGTAGCTGAATCATGGGGGCAGTTACCTCCATGCTGTTCTCATGAGAGTGAATTCTCACAAGACATGATGGTTTTATAAACAGCTTTTACCCACTTCTCTCTGCACTTCTCCTTGCTGCTGCCATGGGAAGAAGGACATGGTTTCTTCTCTTTCCTCCATGATTGTAAGTTTCCTGAGGCCTCCCAAACCCTGTGGAATCGTGTGCCAGTTAAACCCCTTCCTTTATAAATTACACAGTCTGCGGTATTTCTTCATAGCAGAGTGAGAATGGACTAATACTGTGCTACGGTTCTCAAATAAGCAAATGACCTTGCTAAGGAAGGCAAACATATTGTATGTCTGATTAAAGATATGATGTTACATTCAGGGGATTTTTCTTTTGTTTTGGCTGGTTAGGTTGTTTACTGTCCTCCAGTTCTATCTACGACTTTCTTAAACACCAAATATTCACTATTTTTATGATGCTTATCATTATATTATTGTTATCTATCTCTCATAAATGTCATGATTGAGTCAAAAAATAAAAAAAAAAAAAACATGGAAGGCCTAGATCAAGATAGCTTGCATAGTAGATCTGAGCCAAGATTTTTTTTTCAGGCTGACTTCTAGGCCTGATTCTTTCTTGCCTCTTAAATAATTAGCTATTAAACAAGGTCAGACTGTGTCCTTCCCTGGGACCCAACATTGGTAATATTGAAACTATTGACATCCATTGGACTACTGTAAGAATGAGCCTTCCTAGCGTCATAGTACTCCCTGCCATTTGTTGGCTTGCACATGCAATTTATGGAATAATTTTTGGCCAAGAGAGGAGACTCAAGACTAAACTCTGATCTTCTTTTTCTCTCCCTCTGTATTAGTCCATTTTCATGCCCAAGACTGGGCAATTTGCAAAAGAAAGAGGTTTAATTGTACTTACAGTTTCATGTGACTGGGGAGGCCTCACAATCATGGCAGAAGGCAAGGAGGAGCAAGTCATGTCTTACATGGATGGCAGCAGGCAAAGAAAGAAAACTTGTGTAGGGCAACTCCTCTTTTTAAAACCATCAGATCTCATGAGACTTATTCACCATCATGAGAACAGCATGGGAAAGACTTGCCCCCATGATTCAATTACCTCCCACTGGGTCCCTCCCACAACACGTGGGAATTCAAGATGAGATTTAGGTGGGGACACAGCCAAACCATATTATTCTTTTGCCCAAATACCTATCTAACAGGCCTGGGAAGTCATTCACTACAAGCCGTAAAAATCACATCATATGGGTTATTTAATGCTATATAATATGGCTTTACTTTCCAACCTGATTCAGGCATATCACATGACAGATAAATAAAAAAATCAAAATATTTTACCCCATATGTTTCTTTGGTGTATTTTGAAATGGCCCTGCAAAGACATATTTCGTGGGGGAAAATTTGCTTCTATAACGTATCTCTATTAACATAACTAACTCTTTCCCTTTTCAGGCCATCCCAATAATGAAGAGATTAACTGAGAGTCTAGCACATTTGAAGGTTTGAATAGGACCTAAGAGACTTCATCTACATAATAAGAAACTTGGTCTCCACAACCTCTTTTTAACCCAGACACTCCTTTATATTGATTCCATATTTTTAGGTAATAACTCTTTCAACAAGAGTTACATAATAACTCTTTCAACAGAAACTTGCCCAAAAAGAAACCTTTGAATTCACCTATGACCTGTATGCCCCTACTTAGAGGTTTCCTGCTTTTCTAGACTGAACAAGTGTATACCTCACATGTATTGGTTTATGTCTTATTTCTGTCTAAAACATATAAAACCATGCATCAATCCAACCACCTTGGGTGGATGCTCTCAGGACCTCTTGAGACTGTGCTCCAGGCCATGGTCACTCATATTTGGCTCAGAACAAATCTTTTCAAATATTAAAAAATAGCATGATCATTCCTAAATAAATATGTGGAATACCTTTTAAACAATATCTATCGTTATCATTACGATTCCAACATTTCTTTGTTATATGTGTCACATCTCAAAAAAATTGAGTCAAGTAGTCAAAATAGTTGAAAGAAAACAAGAAAGCCAAAGTAAATTGGGGAACTTAACTATTTTATTTATAATGTATAGCAAGATGACATTTAATATCAATTATCGTGATCATTCCCAAATAAATACGTGGAATCCCTTTTAAACAATATCTATCATGATGGTTCTAACAGTACCTTGTTATATACATATGTGTAATATCTTAAAAAATTGAGTCAGGTGGTCAAAAATGTTGCAAGAAAATAAGAAATCCAAAATAAAGTGGGGAACTTAACTTTTAATTAAAATTTATAGCAAGATGACATTTCATATCAATAGATACCGAACTTTATGTGTGTGTGATAAATCCTATTTCATCACAAACTAAGAATAAAATTCACCATATTGTAAAAATTTATATTACACATGTAAAGACAAAAATTTATATTACACATGTTAAATCTTATATATAAAACTGACTGGATTAACCAAATAATAAAAATATGTAAAGATGAAAAACTATTTTAATGGTAATAAATTTGAGTGCAATTCAATTATAGAAGTTTCCAGCTAAATACAGCATCAAAAAAAGGCAAGCAAAGGAACTAGATGTAGGCACAAATTTTGTCACATGACAATGGTGAGCAACCGTTAAATGAGCCCAATATAAAATGTAAAGGAATTTTAGAAACTCCTATTTTTAAGGAGATATAACTTTTTGTGTAAATAACTTTATTCTGAAATCGAAAGCCCACATGATTGTGTTCATTATGAAAATTTGCCAGGATACCAGGTTCCCACACAGAGGTAACTGTATGTGATTACTACAAAGGGTGCTATTGCCCTGTCCTGAGAAAGAATTCTCTCCTCCTTTAGAAATAGCAAAGGATAAAAAGTCATCCTTTTCTACACTCTCCATTTCATTTTGATTTTCACTTTCTATGAATTTATATAGCACTTATCTTTCATGCTCATTTTAAAATTTAATCATATATGATCTTGTATAATTCTCAGTTTTGTGTGTTTGTTCCTTCTTCCAATTTTTGAAAGAAATGGTCATATTATCTCTTTCTACAGAAAACAGTGATGAAGATACATTAGTTTTCTATACAGAAGCATAGATATCTCATTTTTGAATTCAAAAGGATACATTTTTAAGCCCAAATAGAAAGAAACCTTAAGTAAAATCACTATCATTGAGCTTTCTGTCCTGTTAAGTAACCCGTGATTGGGGATAAAAAGTCAAGATATGTCTAAATATATGAAAATACATTATTTTGTTTTCCTTTTACTTGTCTTTCTCATTTTATTTACTTTCAAACTTAGAAGAACATGGTGGCTACTAAAATAGTGTAGAAAGGTTGCAGAAGTCTTGTGATTGACACATTATTATTTAAGTAAAAACCAAATTCCAGACAACTTTTAGGTTTTGAGATATTTCATGTTATCTAATATGGGAAAGAAAGCATTAAAAGAGCAAACGTTTAGCTCCAGAATTTTTGGAACTGCTTACAATCATGGTAGATGAATAAAGGCTAATAGAATATATCAGACAAATGTGGGTTTTTCCTCTTTGCAAGATGCAATGCGTTTCAAAATATTTTGTAAGACAACTGTCTAGAGACAAGTGTACATATAGAACGGACATTAGTAAGTCTAAAACCCAAAAAAATTAAAAAGTAATTTTAATTATAAAAGGACTTTAGAAAAAAGAATAAGATAGGAAGCACCAAATCAGTATGAAATACCTAGTAGCAACAAAGTGGTATGAAAATAGATTATGAGGTACATTCATTTTGTGATTTCATTTTTAATGCACCATTATTCACCATTTTTATAAGGTGATAGTAAATACCAAAGTGAAATTGACTAATGTTTTGAATCCTTTGCCTCATTTATTATGGTTCACCTGGCAGATAGCTAAGTACATTAAATTCACTTGTGATGGCCTCCTTTGCTAACATTTTAAAATAGTCATTGTAACTGATAATACCTAATACTATAGCTTATATCAGTCATAATCTGCATTAACTTTAACCTTTCTTACAACCTATTGATTAGATTATAAAAAGTAAAAAAAATGCATGCAAGTCTTATGTTGTATTACCACATGTAATCTAAAGGGTCTTACATGCATGTATCCTAGAGGAAAGTATATGGCTACATTAGGTCTAGTAATACATTAATAAGAACTGTTAAAGAATATGAGTATTTACTGCAAAAGTTTCTGCATTATAAAATATGCAATAAATGGTAATAATTTTCAAAATATATCAAACAGCAATAACTGTTTTTAAAATAGGTATGTTTACTAGGCATCTGTTTAAAATATTCCCCTTTTCATTTCTAAAATATGTTTGGGGGAAGAAAGAAAACTGTATAGCTATTTAAGCCCGAAGGTCCACACACCCCTACCCTCACACACGTGCACACACACAAACACCAGTAAATATGAAACTGACTGAAACTCATTTACAACTAAGCCATGATATTCCACATCAAATGAAACATTTTTTTTAGCCCAATACAAGAGCCAACTATAAGCAGAACTCCCCATAGGCTTTATTAGCTGAATTCATGTCTGAATCTTCCCCTTTGCTCTTTTCCCTCTCCATGGAGCTGCTTTGATGAAGGGTTTCATTTACATACTCAAAAATTCCTGTGGCTCAGTTCTATGTTCAGAACAGCTCACTGGGAATGGGCTAGAAGTACAGAACATATGAACAGAGAAACAATTAAGAATGAAAAACAAGTTCAAACTCAGCTAAAATCCGGCTTGAACACTAATTGGAAGGAACATACACACATGCTCACATGCACACATACACACACTCACAACACTTCTCCTTCAGGGCATGAGCAAATTTCTCCCAGTAACATTTCTCATTTGATCCACAGGAAAATTGGGATTTGGTGTTACCTGTCTCTACACTGGATTTGAGGAAAGAAACTTCAAATCAGCCATGCAAACTAACTGTGGGCCAACATTAAATAAGCCACACAGCAGGTTGCAAGATCTAATTTATCCATATTCCCCAGTTAATTTATCCTCTAAGACGTTTCACAAAATCAATTTCGTTATGACATTTTATTTCACGTGGAGTAAAGAGAGGCTTAGAGTTTTATGTAGCATCACTAAACTTTTAATGCAAAAAAATTGTGAGAAAATATTACTATATCATGATCAATAATACTTTGCAACTTTGTGGCACGCATTCTATTTATTACTAATAAGTTATTATTATTAATAATTTATTATTTCTATTATTAATAATAGCATACAGAGCAAAGTGTCTGCTTATGAATGCCAGCAGTGCCTCCATTTGAAAAGTGCAATCTTCTGTTAACAATGAGTCCTGTGAATGAGCACTTCCTTCTACTAGGTTAAGTACGATTTTCTAAAGAACCAAATTACTCCCCCTACTCTTTCCTCTGTCCACAGTCAGAACCACTTTGGAAATGACCACAACCACTTCCATTCTCCCAACCGTGAATATCATCTTCTTCATATGTTCTACTTGCTCAGTAGAGATCCTGCCTCAGCCTAGAAAGTCCCATGTAATAATATAAATTTTGGTTATGCTTTTACTGAAAGACTACCTAACTTACAATCGTAAAGAAGATATATTTGATTTGGTTGGATTTTTCATGTAAATACACTGATAAAGAGGACCAGTAACTTTCAGCATTTCACTTTTCCAGCATGAAAGGACACTTGCACTGAAAGGGTTTGTGTCATGTTGTTGATTCTGTGCCGGTGAGGTTCAGATTGATCTCAGCACATTCTGTGCCTTTATCTTAACCAGCGGCAATGCTCTTTGAAAACCCCAGAATATGTCTAAGTCACTGTGAGTCCTAAGCTTTATTCTCTTAACCTTTAATGAAATCAATGAATCAAAAACTTCTGAAATTATTGTCACAAAGAAACCATTGTGTAACTAAAGCTATTATGGATCCATGCATTTTTTTTGTTGCTAAAAAGAAACGTAATTTTGTCTTTGTATATCCTTAGCATCTGAATATTTAATTATTTAATAGATATACAAGAAGATAGTTTATCATTAAGCCATCTGGATCTAAAATGTGACCTAAAATACTAATTTTTTTTCTCCTAGGGCCTCTTCTTTTCAAGTTTTTAAAATAATTTTCCAATAATGCATTTTATCAAGACATACTCTGAAAAGTTGATGTTTGAATCAATCTTACTTATGAAACAACCAGAGCCAAAATTCATCCATCCTTGGTATTAGAAAGTGATTATTAAATATAAGTTTAAAATATTGTTGGGCAAATATACTATCCAGTTATCTTGTTGGGGATTGCTTCTTTAACATGGAGATCAGTTTACATGAGCTTCCTGTTCTGCCATCTTTAGTGGTACCTTTCTTGCTTAAGATTAAATCCTATATGTTGCAGTTTTAAGTTATTTTATATATGTTTTATTTAAAACTTTATACAGGGCCAGATGCGGTGGCTCATGCCTGTAATCGCAGAATGTTGGGAAGCTGAGGAGGGCGGATCGCCTGAGGTCAGGAGTTTGAGACCAGCCTGGCCAACATGGAGAAACCCCGTCTCTACTAAAAACACAAAAACTAGCTGGGCATGGTGGCAAGCGCCTGTAAACCCAGCTACTGAGGCAGAAGAAGCAATTGAACCCGGGAGGCGGAGTTTGCAGTGAGTTGAGATGGCACCACTGCACTCCAGCCTGAGCAACAGAGTGAGACTTCCGTCTCAAAAAATAACAATAATAAAATAAAATAAAATAAATCTAGATTCACAATGGTTGATTTTCAGTTCAACTTGCGAAAAATCCTACTATTCATTCATACATCCACAAAAGTTTCACCATTTTCTTAATTATCATCAATGTATCAGTCCGAGCTCAGTCAAAAAAGCAGAGACAGTATAAGTAAAAATGAGAATTGTTATAGAAATTAAACCTTTCATAACAAGGAGATAAGTTGTGGAAATGAAGCAGCTGCTGTAATGAATGAAAGCACATTGTGCTGTAGTATTATACAGAATAGGCTTCAAATAAGTATGTTGAGTAATAAAGTACTTATGTCAGCAATATTTAAATAAACATTGGGAGGAAATAGAACCTGAGTAACAACTTAGATGTGTACAAAATATGCTTTCTTTTTTTTGAGACAGAGTCTCACTCTGTAGCCCAGGCTGGAGTAGAGTGGTGTGATCTCCATTCACCAAAATCTCTGCCTCCTGGGTTCAAGCAGTTCTCCTGCCTCAGCCACCTGAGTAGCTGGGATTACAGGCTTGTGCCACCACATCTGGTGAATTTTTGCATTTTTAGTAGAGATGGGTTTTCACCATGTTGGCCAGGCTGGTCTGGAACTCCTGGCCTCAAGTGATCTGCCTACCGCGGCCTCCCAAAGTCCTGGGATTACAGGTATGAGCCACTGCGTCCGGCCAAAATATGCTCTCTTCCTGTTGTATTCTCTTTTCAGATAACTTACCAAGCAGTAGGAAGACTAGAGGAAATAAAGCCCCAACAGACAGAGGTTTCTTGTTGTTCTTTCTCTCATCAGTTTTGTTTCCCACCAAGAATCTCCTCACAGTTTCCTTGAAGGATAGGTGGGCATGCATTTTGCACATTGAAAAATATGTGGATATGTATTCTGCACATGTAAGATGTTAAGATTCTGCATAATAAGATGTTATTATGCGTCACATCTACAATTCAGTCTGGAGAACACAGGCTAAAAGAACGGGATTTTGGTTTATTTCATTTTGTTTTGCTCTGTTCTGTTTTGTTTTTGAGGCGAGGTGAATGTGAGGCATGAAGGTAGTTGCTTTTAATGCATTGGACTTATTGGTGAAAACTTTTACCACTGTAATATTGTTAACTGCCTTAAAACACATTGCAGATTATTTTATGAATGTATTTGTTTGATTTTTTTAACAGTGAATTTTTTCAGGTCAGAAGGAGTGATGGACATCATTTCTTTAATTATAGATAGCACTGTTTCCTGCACCCAGGACATAACTTGGATATCAAAAGCATCTTCAGTACAAAGTTCAACATTTCTGTTTGCTTCTTCCTGTACATTTTTAAAGCTGGTTTCTAGGTTTCTGGAATAAAATAAAAGTATGTCAAGGCAACAAAATCCTGACAAGCAGCCTGAACTAAGCTTCAGATGAGTTCACTGAGCTAATACTTACAAAACTCACTTACACCTACATAAAAAATGTTATTTACTTTTTTAAATTTTCAGTTATATTTCTAATTTGAAATATAAATTATGCAACTGGATACTAATATGATATTTCTAATCACTCTTTAACTTTGCCAATAAAAAAGAAACAATTTAAACTATATCTGTGTCTTGAAACCTAAAAATAATACTTCCTAAGGAACTCTGTTAGGACATCATTACAAAGACATCATAAATAACCAAGGAACTTCAGTCTAGCCCAATGGTAATTTTAAGTGACTAGTCAATAAATATTTTGCCTAGTTGAGATTTTTTCAATGATCTCTTGCTACTTAGTATATACAAGCCAGGAATTGGTCTTTCAAAGAATCCAACTGTCTTCACAAGTCTTATTTTGCAACATTTTCCAACTCCATGACATTAATTGGTAATTATAGTCAAAGTTTTATTGCCTAAATTCGGCACCATTTCATCATAGAATGCAAGAAATCAACAATATAATATGGTAATACAGCAAAGAAGAAAGTATAGTGCAATAATATTCACCATATGAAAGACATATGCTTCAGAATCTGTATTTGTTGAAGGATAATAAATACAAATACACTTGATTGGAGACGTTGGGAAATTTACAGACTGAGAAAGTAGCTGGCCAATGAAAGGCAGTCCTGCCAACTCATAAGATGATAAAGCACAAAAATTGACTATGAGCCTGTCAAGGCAGCAAAGGCTTGATGAACTAATATTTTAAAGAGAAACAAACAAACATATATAGAAGTATGTTGTGCATTCTTTGCTTCTCTTACATGCCAATCATTTATGTATCCATAGTCTTCCCAGAAATGGTGGCTAAGAAATATAAGAAAATGTAGTGGAATTTTTGGAAGTCTCACCTTGCTGGGGAGAGGAATAATTGAGTTCAAGAATATCTGAAAAGCAGAGGCAGTGGTAAACACCATATATTCTCTGTTGAGATTCTTTAAGGATTGCATGCTACTATTGAAGGCCAATCAGAAAAAGAATCAGTCTTTAAAAATTGAAACACGTTGAGGGCTCAGTCTCTGACTGAATTGAGATCGGCCTGCTATTATGTATGCCTATTAAAGCATGGGGTTAATCTTACCTTAAGAAAAAATATCCTCTACTATCTCTATAATTTCTTATAGAAAATTTCTGGGCATTCCATTTAAAAGTTATCAACAGTCAGTACCTACAAATTAGACAATATAAGCAGAGCTGTATAAGACCCAGATCTCAAGAGTTATCAGATATGGACTTTAAAATAGCTTTGATAAACATTTTCAGCAGAAATAGAAAACAGTATATAAATTTTGCCAGCGAACAGGGAGTCTTATCAAAAAAATAAATCAAATCAAAGTCTTTGAAATCCTAGATATTAAAAATAAAGTGATTGAGATGAATTACAGAATATTTTACACAGGTGAGCAGAGTATTAGTTGAATGGAAAAAGATCAGTAAACTGAAGCAGAGATTTTTAAAAGAAGAAAAAAAAACTATGAGATATAGAAATTATGCTGCAAAGATCTAATATCTATCTAATTAGAGTCCCAGACTGGAAAGAGATTAAAAAAAAAAAACAGGTCATAAGTATTGATGAGATATCTTGTCAGAGATATGAAAATCACTGTATCTTCACCACAAGAAAAATAGATACAAAGATAATCTCACTTAGATATTGCAATATAGCTACTAAAAATAAAAGCCAATATAAAATGCCAAACAGCACCAGAGAAAAAGACATATTAACAACAAAAGAATAAACAATTAGACTGACATTTGAATTTCAACAGTAATTATGCAAGTCAGAATATAATGAATGGCATAATTAATGTAATGAAAACATTTAACTGTCCACCCATAATGCCATAAACATTGAACATATTCCTCAAGATGGAAAAATTAACTAAATGCAGGAAAGAATTAACAACAATAAGAAGGGTAAATATGTAATATATGGTAAGTCTAATTCTAAAGATGTTGAGTTTATAATATTATATTATGGGCTATTATGTACAAAAAATTTAAAATAAGTGGAAAAACACTAGTAAGACACAAATTATTAAAAATGTCACAAGAAAAAATAGAAATTTGATTAACTATATAAATTAAATATGTAATTAAGTGTTTCTGAAATTTATCTTCCACCTTTTGGCGTACAGTCGTCTAGCAAATTATATAAAATAGTATCTCCTTCCTGCTCATCAGGTCCAATAAGATTAATAGCATCAACATAATGGGCCAGGATGGTATTCTATGAAAATAAAAAGGTGTTCAGGGTACCCGTGTACTAGATTATAACATAAAGTTAGAGAATTGATATACTGCTAAGGTAATAGGAGAGTGGAGATATATTGCTGGCCTCATTAGCTGAAAATGAATTGCTTTTGGTGGCGTTTTTGAAAAAGGTACAGAGAAAAAGTATTCCCCAGATCAATAATCAAGTGTCATGAGATTTATTGATTTACTCCTACAATGAAACCACAATTGGAGCAGCAACTACGACTGGGGTCACCACCTGATTAAGTTTACAAAAATCCTCTTTCATTCTCTGACATCAGGCTGTCTTCTGCAAAGGCCAAATAGGCTAATTAAAGCAGAATATGATGGGGAACTCCACTTCTTCCTCCTACAAATCCTTGATGGTGGCACTCATCCCTGTAATCCCTCCAGGAAAGTGGTATTACTTTGGTTTACCTGTTTTTTGAGTTGAAGCAATTCTTGTGGCTTCCACTTATTCTCTCCTGTCAGGACTACAGAATTTCTCTTTCCAGCCAGGATAAAAAGATTCATAGAGAAGAAAATTTAAGGAGACACCCACACTCAGAGTTATGCCTGTGCCTCCCTACATTGTGTGCTCCAGGCTCCTCTTTTACCTTGCCCTAGTCCTAGCCCTTCATAAAGTCTTTATCCCATAGTTATTCCATGGACTAGCCTTCCATTTTAGTTCTACAGACACCACAATCGACTTGCTAACACAAAAGATCTCTGCAAGTAATTTCTTTTTGTTTTTACTATTTTGAATTTGCTATTCATTAAGGTATTGATAATCCCCTTATCTTTGGTGACTGTGATCACAGTTGGCCCTTTTCACCCAGTGATCCCATCAATAATTAATAATAATTATTAACTTTACTAAAATACTCATGTTAGATTAAAGTTTTAAAATCAATAGCCACAGGCCACAGTTCTTTTCTGGTACTCATTGCACAAGTATGAATTTGTCTACAACAAAGAATCAAGAAGAAAAAAATACCACATGCTTAATATTTAAGCAAAGATTCACCAATCTGTACAATCTGGGGAAAAAAATTTTGATGCGTCTTGCTGAAAAACCTGAATTAAGAATCATTTTGAAAGCATATTGTCTTTATCTTAATTTTGTCCTTACATTAAACAAAATAATTAGAAAAATCATACTACTCTGCTAATTGCTACTGATCCAGAGTGTCTTAATTACAAGTAAATATGTTTATTTTTCTATTATCAGGATAATTTTTCATATTTTATTTTATTATATTGTTTTCAAAATGTAAATTATAAATTGCACTGCCCATACACACACACTTAAAACAACACAGTTGCATATGGTATACAGGAAATGACCACCTTTAATGGAGTTTGGGCACACATGGATACATACTTTTATATAGTTAAATTATAAAAACAGAAATGTCAGTGGCTGCAACTTTAATTAAACATATGGAAATGTTGTCCTTAGAGTAAAATTTTCTACTAAAGCTGTTTTCCTGCCAACTTTTTTATGATTTATTTTCCAACAACATTTTGTTAAATGAATATTTTTATGAAAAAAAAGTTGTAAGAATAACTCCACAATCAATCTCTGTAGCTTTAAAGACTTTCCTAATTAAGTCTGACATTCAAATTTAAAATAATATTTTTCTGGAATTACCTGAAAATATTAAACCACATGTATTTATCTAAACTTAAAATAACATTTTCTGGAATTATCTAAAAATATTAAACCACATTGTGATGGTTAATATTATGTGTCAACTTGATCGGATTGATTGATGCAAAGTATTGATCTTAGGTGTGTCTGTGAGGGTGTTGCCAAAGGAGATTAACATTTGAGTCATTGGACTGGGAAAGGCAGACCCACCCTCAGCCTAGGTGGGCACAATCTAATCAGCTGCCTGCGAGGCCAGAATAAAAGCAAGCAGAAGAACGTGGGAAGACTAGACTGGTTTTGTCTTCTGGCCTAAATCTTTCTCCCGTGCTGGGCACTTCCTGCCCTCAAACATCAGACTCCAAGTTCTTCAGCTTTGGGACTCGGACTGGCTTCCTTGCTCCTCAGCTCGCAGATGACCTATTGTGGGACCTCGCCTTGTGATCGTGTGAGTCAATAACCCTTAATAAACTCCCCTTTATATACACATCTATCCTATTAGTTCTGTCCTTCTAGGGAACCCTAATACATACACATATTTACCTAATTTCAAATAATATTTTCATGAATTATCTAAAAATATTAATTCACATATATTTACACTGTAAGTGCATCTGGCTTTTAAATTTAAGTTTATACATTAAATATATTACTCATAATATTAGGTACAAATTTATTAAGAATGTATCTTGTGATTAATTTAGTAACTTTCACCATAGTTATTCATAACTTGAAAATTGTCAGAACGTTGACATTGCATAAGCAAAGCATTGATTAAAACGCAAGCTTGCAAACTTTTATCAATATATCCATGCGGTAGTTCATATAGTCACAAAGTTAAATGATACATCATTTTTACTGCCTTAAAATATGTATTTAATATAATAGAGACATGATCCCCATTTTACTCATATTCTATAGGAAAGAAAGAAAAGAAAGAAAGAGAGAGAAAGAGAGAATGGGAGGAAGGAAGGGAGGAAGGGAGGAAGGGAGAGGAGAAGGAAGGAAGGGAGGGAAGGAGGGAGTGGGAGGAGGAGGAAGGAAGGAAGGGAAGGAGGGAGGGGGAGGAGGAGGAAGGAAGCAAGGAAGGGAGGGAAGGAGGAAGGAAGGAAACAAGGAAGGAAGGAAAGAAGGAAGGAAGGGGGAGGGAGGGGGAAGAGAAGGAAGGAAGGACAGAAGGAAAGAAGGAAGGAAGGGGGAGGGAGGGGGAGGAGAAGGAAGGAAGGACAGAAGGAAAGAAGGAAGGAAGGAAGGGAGGGAGGGAGGGAGGGGGGGAGGAGGAGAAAGGAAGGAAGAGAGGGAGGGAGGAAGGGAGAAAGAAGAAAAGAAGGCAGAAGGAAAGAGAAGAAAATGAAGAAATGATGTAAGGAAAGAAGGAAATAAAGAAAATTGTGGTATTTAGTCTTACAGTACAATATTTAAAATCTAATGCTGGCTCAGTTTTCTCAGATTTAATGAGATGTTCCTGATATACAGGGTATGCACAATTTCCTTTCCGGCACATTAAATTACAAAATATGAAAGAAAAACCTGTGATGATTTACATTGAAATAGAAATCCAAAAACACATACAAATTCTAAAATAAAGCACTTTGAAACCATTTAAGAAAAAAGTCTCATTATTTTTATTAAGTGACAGTACATTTTAATGTGGCCATGAATACATTAAATAGGCATCCCCAAATCCACACTTAACCATCAACTTGCTCGGTCAATGGAAGAAAATATATCCTAGTTAAAACATAATGCAAATTAAATACTTCCGCTATGATACAAACACAGTTTGTATATTCAGGATTGTTGAAATAGAGCAAAAACAGAAACAAAAGAAGGTAAGAGGGTATAGATCTCACAGGAGACACACATATACACACCCACACACCCACACACACACACACCACGCCTGCAGTCTCTCTAATTATATTTAGCTGGTAATCTCACCTCCAGATCTTCTCCATCAACTGTTTTAAAGTCAGTTGTCTGTTTTTAGTATTTTGGTAAAGTTTTCATGTATTAATTACAAATGACTATACATGACAAAATATGCAATTTTAATTTTTCAGGGCTTCAAAACGACTTTCTTATTTATTGTTAGAAATGGGTGTGGTTATTTCAAAATAATAAGAGATTAGAAAATAGTGAACATAAGATAAAGGCCTGTTTCTGGGCTCGACAGTTGTATCACCCCTAACAAGTCATTTTTCCCATTGGAACTTCAGTTTCTACATATACAATAGGAGCAAAAATGCTTTTTAGATGTCTGTCTTAAAGGGTTTCTGTGGGCTGGACCCAGTGGCTCACATCTGTAATCCTAGCTCTTTCGGAGGCTGAGGCGGGAGAATCACCAAGTCAGGAGTTGGAGACCAGCCTGGCCAACATGGTGAAACCCCATCTTTACTAAAAATATAAAAAATTAGCTTGGCGTAGTGGTGGGCGCCTGTAATCCCAGCTACTCAGGAGGGTGAGGCAGGAGAATCTCTTGAACCTGGGAGGTGGAAGTTGCAGTGAGCCAAGATCTTGCCACACTGCACTCCAGCCTGGGCAACAGAGTGAGACTCTGTCTCAAAGAGAAAAAAAAGGGTTTCTGTGAGACTCAATTACTAATGCTCAAGACCCCAGACTGATATTCTGATTCATATCCCAGGACATAGTGATGAAATTATGTGGTATTCTGAGGTCATCTTCCTGTCTAACTGTGTAGAACTCTAATCACCATTATTGCCTGACTTAATTCTTTCCTTTCTTTTCTTCTGGTTAGTCAAAGACATTATGTCGTTTTTTTTCCCCTGTTTTTCTTTAGTATCTATTTGGAAAATGTGTTTGACACATAATTACATTTTCCCAACTACTATGTTCAGTACATATTACTTGTTACCTCTTGAGAGAATTCAGGCTATATCTTATACTCATTTTCTATTCCTTGTAGCTCAAGGGTACGCTAGGCACCCACTCACAATAAATACAGACAGAACTGAATTAAATAGTGTATTTTAGTAGTAGATATTTTACACAACATAAATGCAGACACGGTTTTACATTAAAAGTTATTCCATGTATTTAGTATTAATTAAAACTCATTCTATATACTAATATACTAACAATATTAATACCATGAATATTTTTTGCCTAAGTCTGCCTGGAGACAATTCTGTATGGGTCTCACATTTCTGCCTATCTTTTGAGCAGAGGCACTGGCTGCATTTTTCTGCCCTATCTTCCAATGATGTTTGTGTAGTGAAAGCCTTTGAAGATCAAAATAAGGTTTCTCTTTGGGGAAGCATGCTTATTTCTGATTATAATTTTTTTCTTTAAATTAGGTTTTCTAAGCTTAGGTTTTCTCTTTGTCACAAAATCCCCTGCCAGCCTCGTCTTCTTTATATCACCCTGGGGAAGAATAATAAATTATCATTTGTTTCTATCCCAGGAGTCTCTTATATTGCATCAGTATCAACAAAACTGTGACAACCTATCTTATTAGCTTATAAGTAGGGTCAAAATATGCAGCCTTTCACAGCCCTTGACAAAGTCTGTATTCTTAAGCCACTTCTTAGTACAAAGGATCAGAAAATTTTAAGATAGGGTAGAACACTTAGAACTCAGTTTTAGAACTCTCCCATATCATAAATGAAAAACATATATTAGAAATAAACTGACTTTCTGAAGTTCACTGCATGTTAATGGAAGGGCATAGACCAAACCCTAGAATTTGTAATTACTATGAATGGCATTTTTCCAACTGTTACAGAATGATATCTAATAATACACGTTTGAACTTCATGAATACCACTCTATATATTAGCTTCTTTTCACTTTTTCATAATGAATTTATGAACATTGTATTAGCTTCGACCATTTGATGCTGTATAACAAAAAATCTTGTCTCATTGAGTATATATATACATATATATATGTGTATATATATATAGACAGAGAGAGAGAGAGAAATTTGAAGAAATATATATATTTAATCTAACCTTCATGACTGTAGTGGAATAGTTGTGACTCTGATGTGTTTTCCTGGCCTTCAGCCTGATTTGGCTTAGTTCAGATTGCTCAGGCTCAACTTGGTTTCACTGGACTAAATTTGACCCTAGTTTTCTTGGCCAGGTTGAACTTTATGCATCTTTTAATGTTTATTTTACAATCCAGGCCTAAGGGGATTTCTGCATGTGAGACATGCTGTTATAATACAGAATAACTGAATGAGTGCCTCAAACAAGCTATTTAAAACACATATCTTCCGTTAAAAAATGGCAAATATCATATCTGCTTATATACTGCTGTTCAGCACAGTTCACATAGCCAAGCTGCAGAGTCAATGAGATGGGCAAGCATAGAAAGGGTAAGGAGAAACAAATAATTGCAAAAATTATGCAGAAATAATAAAAACTACCATACATGCACCTAAGACTTCAAGTCCAATGTTACAGTGCTTACTCACATATGTATTACATATAATATATTAATATATAAATTACATATGTGTTATATATATAAAATAGCCCACACATATGGGCTGACCACAGTTGTCATCCAGATACAATTGAATTTTTTTTCTTTAAAATGGTCCGTTTTTTTTTCTAAACTATCCATTCTGTGTCCTAATTATAAAACTGAGGAAATATTTCTACAATGCTCTGTGCCTTATTCCTAGAAGCAACCTTTGCCAAGTGCTTTTAACCATCAGTTTATTGAGATATAATTTATTTGAATGTATATTTAGATTACTTTTTACAGTTAGAGCACTGGGTAGGCTAAAAGCATGGGAAGTTCATTTGACCTAATTGCAAGCACATGTCTCTCATGTTTCTGCATGCCTTATGAGTAGAAGCAGTGCCTTTCTTTCTTCCAAACTATTTTATGAGGATAATTACACAGCAAAAGGTGTTTGTGCATTGTCTAGTATTATAAAGATAATTACCCTCTGGGCAAATGTCAAACTGATTAACTACCTATTATTAAAAAAAAATTCCAAAGCATGTGGTTCTACTCTTTTATTTCAGCCCTGTGCAGGTATCAGATTGTCCTATTTGCCTTGCCCTGTGGATCTGTATCATGTAGAACAAGCACAAATACTGATATTCTGACTACTGTTGTTGTTGTGATTAATAAACTGTTGTATCTGACCCAAGTTTTTCACATTTTCTGCTATCGCCTATGAAAATATGACAGATTAACTTGTTACTGTGAAAGCAGGGTAAAATCTCATATACTTCACTGTTCTTTTCAACTAAAAATGTCTCTTTAAATTCATGGCTGTTCTTCTTAACAATTCACTAAAAGTGTCAATGCAGTCATAGTGATGTTAGTATGTTTTTTAAAATGTGCACTATTTCTAAAATGCTGTACTCTCCACACAGTTAAGAATTCTTTTTTTTCCTCATTTTTATGCTCAGCAGATAAGCTCACCATCTATTTTTAGAAAATATAAGCACTGAAAGAATCAGTTTGCTTCCTAGTACTAAATCTATCAGCCAATCTTTTCACTCTTCCTTCTATCTTTCTCTTCTGCTACATTCAAATGAAATAAATGTTTCATTTCCTCTGTTCTTCAGGTACTCTCCTTGTTCTTTCTCAAAAGCATACACATTTTCAAAAAAATCTAAATTTAGAATTCTAAATTCTAGCAATTTGAACTACAGAACAAGACGGAAACATGATTACTGAAAATTACTGTACTTTCCATTCTAGCTACCATCCTTACCTACAGAATTTTTCTTCACACTCACAGTCCGCAGGAAAAAGTGAATTAATTTGCTTTTGAATTTTATTATCTTTCATTGATTCTTCGATCTGCCCTCATTATTATAAGAAAACATCCTTTCTTAACATTAATAACTTATAGAAAGCTATAACCAATTCATATCACATAATATATAATTTTTCTTTCTATTAAACATTGACAGTTAACTACTGCATCTTCAGAGACTTTCTGTTTGCATCTTTTAGATGTCAGATCATACTCATATCTGTGCAACCTCAATGGCTGATGTTTGGTAATATTTTTATCTTCATCTTCTCAACCATTTAATAAAGATCTTGCGATAGTTTGCTGAGTTCTCACTCATAGGTGGGAATTGAACAATGAGAACACTTGGACACAGGAAGGGGAACATCACACACCAGGGCCTGTTGTGGGGTGGGGGGAGGGGGGAGGGATAGCATTAGGAGATATACCTAATGTAAATGACGAGTTAATGGGTGCAGCACACCAACATGGCACATGTATACATATGTAACAAACCTGCACGTCGTGCACATGTACCCTAGAACTTAAAGTATAATAAAAATATATATATAAAAAATAATAAAAACTTGATTTCATAAACAACAACAAAAAGACACAAAAACAAACAAAAATATCTAGAATGAGTAAGCTGAAAATAATCTTTTTTTTTTTTTTTTTTTTTTTTTTTTTGAGACGGAGTCTCACTCTGTCGCCCAGGCTGGAGTGCAGTGGCGCAATCTCGGCTCACTGCAAGCTCCGCCTCCCGGGTTCACGCCATTCTCCTGCCTCAGCCTCCCAAGTAGCTGGGACTACAGGCGCCCGCCACTACGCCCGGCTAATTTTTTGTATTTTTAGTAGAGACGGGGTTTCACCGGAAAATAATCTTAAAGATCTCCCAATCCTGTGATTCCCAAGTACTACTTCCTGGATGTGCCATGTTGACATGAAAAAAAAAAATAAAGGAAATATTTAATAATAAAAAAAAACATAAAGATCTTCATATTATAGTCACTCATACTCTTCTATCTCTATCCTCTAAACGTGTAATATCCCAATTAAAAAATAAAGATTGGAGTTACAAGGCAGAGGAAGATAGTCAAATAACACCCTCCAGTGATTCCTCCCATCCTGCAAGAATACCAAGTTGAACAACTATCCACACAAATAGAGGACCTTCACAAGACAGAAAGATCAGGTAAGTGACCACAGTACCTGGTTTTCACATCATATCAATGAAAAAGGCACCAACGAGGGTAAGAAAGACAGTCTTGAATTGCCTACACCAACCCTCCTCCATCCCCTGGCAGCAACCATGTGGTGTGGAGAGAGAATTTGTGTGCTTGGGAAAGAAAGAGCAGGGATTGTGGACTTTGCTATAGAACTCAGTGCTGCCTTGTAACAGCAGAAAGCAATACAGGGCAGAATTTGGCCAGTGCCCACCAAGGAAGCAATGAAAATAGCCCTAGCAAGGGAGGAATTATCCATCCCAGTAGTCAGAACTTCCGGCTAGCTCTACCACTGCCGGCGAAAGCACTCTGAGGTCCTAAATAAATCTAAAAGGCAATCTAGGCCACCAGGACTACAATTCCTAAGCAAGTCCTGGTGCTGTTCCAGGCTTGGAGCAAGTAGACTTGGGGCATATGCAACCTGGTGAGACACCAACCAAGGTAGCCAAAACAGTGCTTGCGTCATCCCCTCCCCGATCCCAGGGAGCACAACTCGTAGGTACAGAACAGACTCCATGTTTTAACTTAAAGAGAGGAGAGGGGAAAGTAAAGAGGACTTTGACAACTCAGATAACTGCTCAACCACAATAGAAAAGGGCACCAGGCGGAGTCCTGAGGCCCCCATTCCAGGTCCTAGCTTTCAGACAACAGTTCTAGACACACACTGTGCCTGAAGGGAGCCCATTGCCTTGAAAGGAAGAATCCAGTCCTGGCATAATTCATCATCTGCAGATTAAAGAGGCCACGGGACTTAAAGAAACATGAGTGATAGCCAGGCAGTATTCACTACAGGCCTTGGGTAAAACCCAAGGCTTTGTTGGCTTCAGGTGTGACCCAGCACATTTCTAGCTGTGTCATCCAAGAAGAGAGACTCGTTCTTCTTGAAGAAAGGAGAGTGGAAAGTAAAGGAATCTTTGCCTTGCAGTTTGAGTATCAGCTTGGCCATAGTTCAGTAGAGTGCCAAGTGGGATCCTGGAGTTGCCGATTCCAGAACTTGGCTTCTGGGTGGCATTTCTGGACCCATCAAGGATTACAGGGCAGCCCACCTCTCTGATGGGAGAGACCCAGGCTTGGCAGAATTTATAATAAGTGGATTGAAGAGTCCTTAGCCCTTGAGAGAACATCAGTGGTAGCCAGCAGTATTCACAATGGGGTAGTGGTGGTCAGGGGAGAGACTCCTTCTGCTTGAGAAGAGGTCAGAGAAGAGTGGGAAGGACTTTGAAGATGGGATGCCTGCTCAGCCACAGTAGAATGGAGCACCAAGGCAATTTCTAAGGTTTTTATTTCAAGCACTGACTCCAAGATGACATTTCTTAACCTGCCTTGGGCCAAAGAGGAACTTGCCACCATTAAGGGAAAGACAGGAACCTAGCTGGATTCATTATTTGCTGACTGAAGAGCCCTAGGGCCTTGAGAGAACATAGCCAGGCAGTGGTTGGCATGGGCCTTGTTAATGACCTAGTACTGTGCTAGCTTTGGGTCTGACCCAGTGTAGTGCCAGTGGTGTTGGTCACAGGGGGACTTGTGTCATCTCTCCACCATCTCTGGGCAGCTCAGCACAGACAGAGACACTTTGTTTGTTGGGGGAAAGGAAGGGTCGAGAACAAAAGTCTTTGCATGGTAATCTAGGGAATTCTCCCAGATCTTACCCAAGACAACCAAGACAGTACATTTATGAGTCTGTAAGAGTCACAGCATTCCTGAGCATAGGGTGCCTGCTACGTCAAAAAAAAAAAGCTGCAGTGAACAAAGTCTTACATCACAGCACTCAACTCTCTCTGAATACTTGGAAAGCCTTCCCAAGTAGGATGAGCACAAACAAGCCTAGACTGTGCAGACAATGATAAATACGTAACTCATCAATACCCAGACATGAAAAAATATCCACAAGCATCAAGATCATCCAAGAAAACATGACCTCACCAAATGACATAAATAATACACCAGTGACCAATCAGGAAGATGAGGAAATGTTTGGAACTTCCTAGAGACTGGTTGAATCATTTTGACCAAAATGCTGATAGTGATATGGACAACGAAGTCATGGATGAGGATATCTCAGATGGAAATTAGGAACTTATTGGAAACTGGAGTAAAGATCACTCTTGACTGGAGTGAAGGTCATGCTTTAGCAAAGAGACGGGCAGCATTGGGCCCCTTCTCTGGGGATTTCTGGAACTTTGAAATTGAGAGAGATGATTTAGGGTAAGTCGTGGAAGAAATTTCTAAGCAGCAAAGCATTAAAGATGTGGCGTGGCTGCTTCTAAAGCCTATTGCCATTTGCATAAACAAAGAAATAAACAGAAACTGGTACTTATATTTAAAAGGGAAGCAGAGAATAAAAGTTTGAAAAAATTGCATCGTAGTCATGTGGTAGAAAAGAAAAACCCATTTTCTGGGGAGAAATTCCAGAAGGCTGTAGGAATTTGCATAAGCAAAGGGGAGCTGAAATGTTATACCCAAAAAAATGGGGAAAATGCCTCCAAGTCTTTTCAGATAACTTTGTGACAGCCCCTTCCATCACAGACCTAGAGGCCTAGGAGGGAAAATGGTTCAGTGGGCCTGGATTAGTGCCCCACTGTTCTGTGCAGCATTGGGACTTGGCATCATACATCACAGCTGTTCCACTCCAGTCATGGCTAAAAGGGGCCAAGGTACAGCTCAGGCCTTTGCTTCATAGGGTGCAAGCCCCAAGCCTTGGTGGCTTGCAAATGTTTTTGGGCCAGTGGGTGCACAGAAGGCAAGGATTGAGGTTTGGGAGCCTCCACCTATATTTCAGAGGATGTATGAAATGCCTAAATGCCCAGGAAGAAGTCTGCTTCAGGAACAGAGCCCTCATGGAGAACCTCTAATAGGGCAAAGGAGAGGGGAAATGTGGGGTTGGAACCTTCACACAGAGTCCCCACTGGGGCACTGCCTAGTGGAGTAGTGAGAAGAAGGCCACCATACTCCAGATCCCAGAATGTTATGTCTACCGACAACTTGCTCTGTGTACCTGGAAAAGCCGCAGGCACTCAACACCAGCCCATGAAAGCAGCCGTGGGGGCTGAACCCTGCAGAACCACAGGGGTGGAGCTGCCCAAGGCCTTCGCAGTCCATCTCTTGCATCAGCATTACCTGGATGTGAGACATGGAGTCAAAGGAGATTATTTTGGAGCTTTAAGATTTATTGACTGTCACGCTGAGTTTTGGACTTGCATGAGGCCTGTTGCCCCCTTGTTTTGGCAACTTTCTCACATTTGGAATGGGAACATTTACCCAATGCCTGTACCCTCATTGTATCTTGGAAGTAACTAACTTGGTTTTGATTTTACAGGCTCATAGGCAGAAGGAACTTGCTTTGTCTTGGATGAGACTTTGGACTCAGACTTTTGAGGCTGGTGTGGAATGATATGGTTTGGCTCTGTGTCCTGACCCAAATCTCTTGTTGAATTGTAATCTCCAGTGTTGTGGGAGGTACCTGGTGGGAGTTGATTGGATCCTGGGGGAAGACTTCTCCCTTGCTGTTCTCATGACAGTGAGTGCATTCTCTTGAGATCTGGCTGTTTAAAAGTGTGTAGCACTACCCTGTTCACTCTCTGTCTCTCCTGCAACCATATGAAGACATGTTTGCTTCATCTTTGCCTGTCTACCATGATTGTAAGTTTCTTGAGGACTCCCCAGCCAAGTCTCCTGTACAGCCTGTGGAACTGTGAGTTGATTAAAACTCTTTGTCTTTTATATAAATTATCCAGTCTCAGGTAGTTCTTTATAGTAGTATTAGAATGAACTATTAATAATATATCATCTGACAAGTAATTAATAACTAGAACAGAAAGGGAAATTTAGTAACTCTATTGTAAACATCTAATAATCCAATTTTAAAATGGGCAAGAGATCTGAATTTACACTTCTCAAAAGATGACATACAAATAACAAACAAGTATATGAAAAGGTGCTCACAATCATTGATCATCAGAGAAATGAAAATCAAATCTATACTAAGGCCGGGCATGGTTGCTCATGCCTGTAATCCCAGTACTTTGGGAAGCTGAGGAGGGCAGATTGATCGCCTGAGGTCAGGAATTTGAGACCAGCCTGGCAACATGGTGAAACTCCATCTCTACTAAAAATACAAAATTAGCCAGGTGTGGTGGTGCACACCTGTAATCCCAGCTACTTGGGAGGCTGAGGCAGGAGAATCACTTGAACCTGGGAGACAGAGTTTGCAGTGAGCCGAGATCACACCATTGCACTCCAACCTGGGCAAAAAGAGTAAAATTCTGTCTCAAAAGCAAACGATAAGTAATAACAAATGCCAGTAAGGATGTAGAGAAAAAGTAGCTGTCTTACACTATTGTTGTGAATGTAAGTTAGTACATCCATTATGGAGAACACTGTAGATTTTCCTTGAACAATTAAAAATGGAAATACCATATGATCCAGCAATCCCTCTGCTAGGTAAATGCCTAAAGAAAGGAGATCAGAATATCAAAGAGATATCTGCATGACCATGTTTATTGCAGCACAATTCACAATAGCTGAGATTTGGAAGCCACGTTTATGTCCATTGACAAATGAATATGTTAAAAAAATGTGGTACATAGACACAATGGAATTCCAGTCAGCCATAAAAAATTAATGCAAATCTGTCATTTGCAGCAACATGGTTGGAACTGGAGGACATTATATTAGGTAAAATAAGTCAGGCACTGAAACACAAAAGCCATATGTTCTCACTTATTTTTGAGAGTTAAAAATTAAAACAATTGAGTTCATGAACATAGTAGGTTGATGGTTGCTAGAGCCTGGGAAGGGTACTGAGAAGTTGGAGAGGAAAGCAGGGATGATTAATGAATATAAACACATAATTATATAGAAAGAATAAGATCTAATATTTGATAGCACAACAGGATGACTACGGTCAACAATAACACTGTACATTTTAAAACAACTTAAAGAATGTAATTGGCATGTTTGTAACACTACAAAATGATAAATGCTGGAGGTGATGAATATCCCATTTATCCTGATGTGATTATTATGAATTGCATCTAGTATCAAAATATCTCCTGTACCCCATAAATATATATACCTACTATGGACATATAAAAATATAACTTAAAAATTTTGAACAAATGAATAAAAGATTGACCAACTGGGTTAAAAAACATGTCAATTAACTATTTTATGTCAAAAACTCATTTCAAATGCAATGACCTAGTTTCAAGCCAGATATATGGGAACTAATACACTTTACAAGCATAACTTAAAATAAACTAAAAAAGCAAAGGCAAGAATGGCTATATATTGTCAGACATATTTGATTTTGGAACAATATAAATTATGAGACATAAAGAGAGGGACATTATGTATTGATAAAAGTATCAATTCATCAGTATAGTCTAATCATCCTAATTGTGTGTGCACCAAATGACACAGTCTCAAAATACATTACATAAAAACTGACAGAGCTGAAATGAGAAATAGACAAATTCACAACTATATTTGTGAATGTACTTCTATAATTTTAATGTTTCCTTCGAAAGTTTATATGTCACGAGCTTAATTCTGCTGCTTTAGTGAATGGATTAATGTTGCTATCATAGAAGTGGGTTTGTTATTATGGGAATGACTTTTTAATACAAGTGTGCTGTCTCTATCTCTGTTGTGTTTGCTCTCTTGCCATGGTATTTCCTCCACCATGGACACAGCAAGAAGAATCTCACCAGATGCCATTACCATTGTTTTTGGACTTCTCAGCCTCCAGAATCATATGCTAAATAAATGTATTTTCTTTATAAATTACTCAGTCTGTGATATTTCATTATAGCAACAAAAAACAAACTAAACAGAAAATTGGTTCTGAGAAATAAGGCCGTTGCTATAACAATTCCCTAAAAATGTGGGAGCCGTTTTGAAAATGAGTGATGGGTAGAAGCCATATGAATTTGGAGGAACAGGCTAGAAAAATTCTGTATTGTGGTAAATGAAGTGTTAACAGTGATTCTGGTGAGGGCTTGGTAGGAGAGATCAGAGAAAATCCTGAACTTCCTAGAGATAATTTAAGTGGTTGTGAACAGAATGTGGATAGAAATACAGACATTGAATATGACTTCGATGGTTCTCAAGTAGAACTGAAGAACAAGGTTTTGGAAACCAAGGCAAGGGCCAACCTCATATAAAGTAGAAAGGAATTTGACCAAACTGTTTTTTACCTGAAAGCTTTATGGAATGCAGAATTTAATATGAACAAACTTGAATATCTGGCTGAAGAAATATTTAAGCATCAAATCATTTAGGCTACTGCTCCAAAACCGTGCTTAATACACTTATCTTATTTCAAATTACCTTGTCTGTGGTATTCTCTTATAACAACAGAAAATAACCTAAGGCAATAAGGACTAAGGCAATAACCCTCTCAATGACTGATAGAAATACTTAACAGCCTATCAGCAAAGATATAGAATAACTGAACAACATCATTTGTACCAGCAACCACTTTCTTATAATATTATTTGAGAAAAATGTGTTGAGATTAAAAATATAATTTATCAGTATAAGTTCATTAGGATGTACTTTGAAAACACGAAGAATTACCCTAGAAAGAATGCCTGAGCTAGAAGGGCAAGGATGGGAAAAATAAACAAATAGAGAAGCCAATAATCTTTAAACATGTGGATAAATGTAAATAAATGTAAATAAAATAAGCTCTATCTTTACAAAATGATAATGATGATATTGATGATACTGTCTATTTTATATGAGAGAAAAGTACAATATGAAGTACTGTAAACAAACAACATGCAAGTAATCTGAGGATGATTGGTATAAACCTTTTTGATAACCTTGTGTTGTTTACAATGATAGTTAATATAATAAGTTTGCATTTTGTTACATATCATGATATGTAACAAAAGAAAGCCTATGGATAAATTGAAGGAGACCAAATTAGCATACAAACCAGTAAAGAAAAAAATAATATATTTGTAAAGGAAAAATAAATAGCATACAAAAAGATAGAATAATTAGAAGTTAAAAATAGTATAAAATAAGAAAACATTGTATCTAATCACAACAAACATAAGGACTAACCTCACCAATTAAAAACAAAGATTAAATGTAAAAAGTAAAAAATATTTCATTTTAAAAGGACACTACTAAAACACAAGTTTGTAAAGTACATGAAAGTAAAGTAGTGAAGACTGAATTGGGTATTTTTGTTTGGGAGTTTATTTGCATGCATATGCAAAAGTAGACTTTGATAGATATGTATGTAACACCAGTTACCAATTGTCCAATTCTCATCATACTGAGCTTTAAATATACATTTCTCAATTTAAGACAGGTGAAGCAGACAAAAATTTAGGAATATGAAAGGTTCAACATAATAATCAACAAACTTTATTAACATTATATGAAACACCACAATTGATGACATAAATGGCGCCTCTAATTATATATATTTTGTTCTCTCTTGAATACAATATTTATTAAAAATTGACGATAGAAATAGCTACACAGAAAATCACAAAGAATTTTGAATGCTTGCTATTACCTAGATATGTTTATGTATTATGTTTAAGTTCAAATTCTGTTTAAAGACTAAAAGTAGTAACCATATGTTGTCAGTTGAAATATGTCCATTCTTAAAAAATGTTGAAATCCTGACACCAGGTGCCTGTGAATGTGACCACATTTAAAAATAGGATCAAGCTGCTTTAATCAAGTTAAGAAGGGGTCATACTGGCTTATGGTGAGCACTAATTCAATGATCGTTGTCCTTATAAGAGGAAAATTTGAACACAGACAACCACAAAATAAGATAATGTGAAGACATAGTCACACAGCAGAAAAGTCATGTGAAGACAGACATAAACATGAAAGTGACAGATCTACAATGCAAGAAACACCAAGCATTGCCAGCAAACAGTAGAAACTAGGGGAGAGGCATGAAATAGTTTCTCCCTCAAAACTTACAGGATCAGCCAACTCTTCTGACACTTGGATTTTGGACTTCTAGTTTTAAGGACTGTGAGAGGATATTTTTTATTGTTTTAAAACACCCAGTTTGTGATAATTTGTTATGGCAGCCCTAAGAAAGTAATACACAGTACTTTTGAATATTAAAACAAAGCACTGATAAGTGATAGCTTGGACAAAAAAAAATGAAATGAAAGTTTAAAAACATACGACCAACACTGGCTAACACGGTGAAACCCCGTCTCTACTAAACATAAAAAAAATTAGCCAGGTGTGGTGGTGGTCGCCTGTAGTCCCAGCTACTCCAGAGGCTGAGGCAGGAGAATGGTGTGAACCAGTGAGGCGGAGCTTGCAGTGAGCAAAGATGGTGCCACTGCACTCCAGCCTGGGTGACAGAGCGAGACTCTTTCTCAAAAAATAAAATAAAATAAATAAATAAATAAATACAACCAACAACTGTTTAATACAATTTAATTGCAGGTGGAAAATTCACTAAGGACGACATGATAGTAGTACATGAACAGATTTTCAATAAATTGTAAAGGCTCTTAAAGATCCATATATATTATTTGACCCCAACTAAATTAAATTAACATATGTAATAAGATATCATTGAAAACCCAAAATTTTTGAAAATTAAGTAGGTCTTTTCTAAAGAATATATCAATTATAGAATAAATAACATGGACCATTTACTGAGTTATATTAAATATACAGAAAATCAGAATTTGTGCTCCACCTTATAGTTCTGTAGAAAAAAATCTATATTTGTGAAAGTTCATGTAACATGGGGAAAGAAGCTTAAAATTGGTGATCTAAACTTCATTTTTAAACATTAGCTTAAGAATAATAAATAAAACAAGGAGTAAGCAGTAAACAGGAAACAATAAAATAAGGACAAAAACTGACAAACATTAGAGAATGCCAACTAAGCAAAAAGTTGGTTATTTGCAAAAAGAAAGAAAAAACAAATTAACACTACAATAAAAAAGGAAATGGCACTACATATATTACAGGTATTAAAAGGACAATAAGAAAAATTTGTATGTTTAGAAGCAATAAATTTAAAATGAATAAATTCATGTAAAATTCTAATTTACCAAAATTAACATAGTAAAAAATGAAAGATCTGAATAGCCCTTATTGATTCAACAAAGTGAAATTTTTATTATAAGTTTTCATACAAACTAAACTACTGGCTCAAGTACTTTCTCTTCCACCAGTGAATTCAATCAAATATTTTATGAAGAAGATTGTTTAGATGTTGACATTTTCAAAAAGTTTATGAAAGATGCTATTATATTTAAATGCTAATACTTTTGTGAGGATAATAATAGATAAGAATAAAGGCAAATGTACTTTTTCTCAGGAATATCTGGACAGACACAGTAAACAAGGAATGCTTCAATCCAAGATGTTGTTAAGAATATACATCTTCTATAACTAAGATCAGAGCAGAACTGAAGGAGATAGGTACACAAAAAACCCTTCAAAAAATCAACAAATCCAGGAGCTGATATTTTGAAAAGATCAACAAAATTGATAGACTGCTAGCAAGACTAATAAAGAAGAAAAGAGAGAATAATCAAATAGATGCAATAAAAAATGATAAAGGGGATATCACCACTAATCCCACAGAAATACAAACTACCATCAGAGAATACTATAAACACCTCTACACAAATAAACTAGAAAATCTAGAAGAAATAGATAAATTCCTGGACACATAAACCCTCCCAAGACTAAACCAGGAAGAAGTTGAATCGCTGAATAGACCAATAACAGGCTCTAAAATTGAGGCAATAATTAATAGCATACCAACCAAAAAAAGTCCAGGACCAGATGGATTCACAGCCGAATTCTACCAGAGGTACAAGGAGGAGCTGTTACCATTCCTTCTGAAACTATTCCAATCAATAGAAAAAGAAGGAGTCCTCTCTAATTCATTTTATGAGGCCAGCATCTTCCTGATACCAAAGCCTGGCAGAGACACAACAAAAAAAGAATTTTAGACCAATATCCCTGATGAACATCGATGCAAAAATCCTCAATAAAATACTGGCAAACCAAATCCAGCAGCACATCAAAAAGCTTATCCACCATGATCAAGTGGGCTTCATCCCTGGGATGCAAGGCTGGTTCAACATACGCATATCAATAAACATAATCCAGCATATCAACAGAATCAAAGACAAAAACCACATCATTATCTCAATAGATGCAGAAAAGGCCTTTGACAAAATTCAACAGCACTTCGTGCTAAAAACTCTGAGTAAATTAGGTATTGATGGGACGTATCTCAAAATAATAAGAGCTATTTATGACAAACCCACAGCCAATATCATACTGAATGGGCAAAAACTGGAAGCATTCCCTTTGAAAACTGGCACAAAACTGGGATGACCTCTCTCACCACTCCTATTCAACATAGTGTTGGAAGTTCTGGCCAGGGAAATCAAGCAGGAGAAAGAAATAAAGGGCATTCAATTAGGAAAAGAGAAAGTCAAATTATCCCTGTTTGCAGATGACATGATTGTATATTTAGAAAACCCCATCGTCTCAGCCCAAAATCTCCTTAAGCTGATAAGCAACTTCAGCAAAGTCTCAAGATAAAAAAATCAATGTGCAAAAATCACAAGCATTCTTATGCACCAATAACAGACAAACAGAGAGCCAAATCATGAGTGAACTCCCATTCACAATTGCTTCAAAGAGAATAAAATACCTAGAAATCCAACTTACAAGCGATGTGAAGGATCTCTTCAAGGAGAACTACAAACCACTGCTCAACGAAATAAAAGAAGACACAAACAAATGGAAGAACATTCCATGCTCATGGATAGCAGAAACAATATCATGAAAATGGCCATACTGCCCAAGGTAATTTATAGATTCAATATTATTCCCATCAAGCTACCAATGACTTTCTTCACAGAATTGGAAAAAACTACTTTAAAGTTCATATGGAACCAAAAAGGAGCCCGCATTGCCAAGTCAATCCTAAGCCAAAAGAACAAAGCTGGAGGCATCACACTACCTGACTTCAAACTATACTACAAGGCTACCCTAACCAAAATGGCATGGTACTGGTACCAAATCAGAGCTATAGATCAATGGAACAGAACAGAGCCCTCAGAAATAATAGCACACATCTACAACCATCTGATCTTTGACAAACCTGACAAAAACAAGAAATGGGGAAAGGATTCCCTATTTAATAAATGGTGCTGGGAAAACTGGCTAGCCTTAGGTAGAAAGCTGAAACTGGATCTGTTCCTTACACCTTATACAAAAATTAATTCAAGATGGATTAAAGACTTCAATGTTAGACCTAAAATCATAAAAACTCTAGAAGAAAACCTAAACAATACCATTCAGGACATAGGCATGGGCAAGGACTTCATGTCTAAAACACCAAAAGCAATGGCAACAAAAGCCAAAATTGACAAATGGGATCTAATTAAAGAGCTTCTGCACAGCAAAAGAAACTACCATCAGAGTGAACAGGCAGCCTACAGAATGGGAGAAAATTTTTTCAATCTACTCATCTGACAAAGGGCTAATATCCAGAATCTACAAAGAACTCAACAAACTTTCAAGAAAAAAACAAACAACCCCATGAAAAAGTGGGCAAAAGATATGAACAGACACTTCTCAAAAGAAGACATTTATGCAGCCAATAGACACATGAAAAAATGCTCATCATCACTGGCCATCAGAGAAATGCAAATCAAAACCACAGTGAGATACCATCTCACACCAGGTAGAATGGCAATCGTTAAAAAGTCAGGAAACAACAGGTGCTGCAGAGGATGTGGAGAAATAAGAACACTTTTACACTGTTGATGGGACTGTAAACTAGTTCAACCATTGTGGAAGACAGTGTGGCAATTCCTCAAGGATCTAGAACTAGAAATACCATTTAACCTAGCCATCCCATTACTGGGTATTTATCGAAAGGATTATAAGTCATGCTGCTATAAAGACACATGCACACCTATGTTTATTGCTGCACTATTCACAATAGCAAAGACTTGGAACCAACGCAGATGTCCATCAATGATAGACTGGATTAAGAAAAAGTGGCACATATACACCAGGGAACCCTATGCAGCCATAAAAAAGGATGAGTTCATGTCCTTTGCAGGGACATGGATGAAGCTGGAAACCATCATTCTCAGCAAACTATCACAAGGACAAAAAACCAAACACTGCATGTTGTCACTCATAGGTGGAAATTGAACAATGAGAACATTTGGACACAGGAAGGGGAACATCACACACTGAGGCCTGTCATAGGGCGGAGGGGGGGGGGAGCTGGGGGAGGGGGGAGGGATAGCATTAGGAGATATACCTAATGTAAATGAGGAGTTAATGGGTGCAGCACACCAACATGGCTCATGTATACATATGTAACAAACCTTCAGTTTGTGCACATGTGCCCTAGAACTTAAAGTATAATAAAAATAATAAAAAAGAATTTACATCTTCTAACCCACTTGTTTAAGAATCAGGACAAACCAATAGATTAAGGGAAAAAATGAATTTAAATAATGTGATCTTCAACAGAAAATTATAAATAGCTACCATACAATCAAACTCAAATTTAAAAGTAACATTTGCTTTATACTCTCATGCCAGAACATGTTACAATTTTTTTCTAAAATACAATTTAGCCGTAAGCCATGGGGCAGAGCAATAAGATAAAAGAGAAAGTGTTTGGCAAAATCTAATGTTATATTCCATAACAAAAATTTTAAACTTTAATTTTCTCATTTTTGATACTCATTTTTTCCTGGGATTTGGTGATTAAAATTAAATAGCATATAAAATGCAAAGCACTTAACATGTTATACAGTAGGCTTTTAAAATGTATTTTAAAGTAGCTACATCTAAGAGTTTGTCAAAAAAGTATTTATTCTATACAAATTCTACATCACCATCCATGATAACTGGTTTTCCAACTATATTACATTTTTTGACTATTATTTTATTTTTGCATAAATAGCATTTTCTTGATTCTTCACATCTCGTCTTATCCAAACACTTTTTTTGTTTCTGTTTATATTCCATCAGTATTTCTCTGACTTAAAGAAATATGTTCAAGATATCTGTTACTAGTAACACAATCTCACACACGATTCTTTCCTTATTATATGACACATAATATTACCTCAGATAAGCATATTTTAATATATACTTTCAAAGGACAAGTAAGTTCTCACAGTTCCACATCCATGAAATGTTTACCTTTTGTGTTTCTGAAGGATTTTTGTGATTTTAAAGAAGTATTTTTTTCTTTAGATTTTCATCATGCTTTTTAACGTGTTAGTATAATTTGTGACTTACCAAGAAAAGGAATACAGATTTCGAGGTTTCCAAAAATCATTTAAGCTTTAAAAATATTGTATGGAACACTCATTACTTTATGATAGAACATTAGCATTCTTTACATTGGAAATAAGGATTGCAATTGCTCAGCTTTTATTTTCTATCATAAGATCATGCTATTTTTAATATTCAAATGTTAATGTTTTTGGTAAAAACCCATTTCTGCTTCTAAGTTCTTCTGCCATATATTTTTGCTTCCCCTTTCAAACTAGCTGAGCCCTAATTGCTCAGAGCAAGCTCTCCAGGATGTCCTTTTCACTTGCCTCCTGGAAACCCACCCACTAATGCATATATGGCTTTACCATCTTCCTTTACCCCTTCCTCTGAATACCGACTATGAACGTCGTGCAAGGAGCTCTCTGAAGTGCATGTAGAACTGTTCTTCGTGTAGAGATGGTGTTGAACTAAGAGAACTGTATCCCTTCTGGGTTAATAGGAAGAGAAATTAAAATTGATGCAACTCAGAACAGGTATCCAGAGCTGAGAGAACGATTGGTTCTGAAAGCACATCTCAAAGGGTATGAAGCCAGAAAGAAGTAAGTTACTGAAACTTTACCAATCTTTTCAAGTTAATTAAAAAAAATATATCTGCCGTACAACACTAAAATCCAAAGAAACTATAGACAAGGTAATGGTTACAGTATAGTCTATCATTTTTTGTTTATGTCAAATATTTAGTTTCATTGATTTTTAAAAATATATTCTGAGAGTTATCTAATAAAACATAAATAATGATACAGGCATTTTGGAAATTCACCAAAATATCTATTGAAAAGATTCTTGCTGATTTGATCTTTTGTGAATACCTTTAAACTGTTCATGAGTGATCACGTCATCTGTAGTAAGGTTGCATTATTTATAGCTACCAGAAATTCTATATAATGCACAGTGTTGAATATTGGTAATAACTTCAATGGCCTTAGAAGAAGGAATTTTTTTCAGCAGGATGCCTTAAGAAAAATTACTTCCTTCTCCTCCATTTCTCTGATCACTGCCAGAGCATCTTGTGACTAAAATAAATGAGAGCCAGAAAGCATTGAATAACTCTCAGTCCATGCTTCTTGAAACCCTGGGAGATAACAGGCAGATATTCAGTACAGTATTATGTAAATTTTCAGGATCCTCTTGGATATCTTTTCTAGATTAAAAATTTGTGTTATTGACTCAAAGGATGACCAAAACCATATTAATGTATGATGATATTTGCTTAGCCATATCCCCACCTGAAAATTAAACGTCAGCCGCACATAATGGTTTTTATATAAGATCATGGAGTAAAACAGAGATGAAAATAATAAGTGAGTAACAAAGAATAAGAATATAGTTCCCATATTGTTTCTACCCTTGATGATGATGTAAAATTATTTGTGTCCTGTACATTTACAAATTCCCTTTTTTCCTTGGCATCTTCTAACACTTTGACTGTGATATCTACTATACTTGATATTCCCACAGCATCATATTTCTTGCAATCTCGTCTCCATTGGATTTCTGAAGTTTTCCTTTGACTAATATTAATGAGCAAGAGTATGATAGGAGGAACCCTAGTTAATCATTGGTCACAACCATTGTCATTCATATCAAAGTATAAAAATGTTGGAAATCATCCACTTCTTCCCATATGCAGACAACTTTGTATTATAATGTTGTTGCTCCTTCCATAAACATTTTGAGTCTTTTTCTTTATCCCTTGACTATGGGATAGCCTCTGGATTTGCTTTGACAATAAAACACATTGGAATGGACATTGTGTGAGGTTTGAATCCAGACCTCAATATTTGTATGTTTCTGCCCTCATTTAAGAAATTTTGTTGAGCTGTCATTTGCAAGGCACTGAATGACTGAATATCTAAGTCACAGATAATATACCTTAACTAGTGGACTGTTCATTGGACAAATAGATGAGTTAAAAGGAGATATGGTGGAAATTAGCAAGCATGTATCTCTAAAGATTCTAAATGGATGAGATCAGGCACATGGATTGGGTTCAGTGTATACTGCTTGGGTAATGGGTGCACCAAAATCTCACAAATCACCACTGAAGAACTTACTCATGTAATCAAATATCACCTGTCTCCCCAAAACCCATGGATACATTTAAATTGAAAAAGTAAAATAAAAATAAAGACTTTAATTGACATTGATCTCTGCAATTCCTGCACAAATGTGGCATTACTTTTGGTTTACTATCTTGGCTGAAGGAAAGAGAAACTCAAACATGGAACTTCCATTTGGCATGTTTCCCTCACTTCATGGGTTAAGAAATCAAACTGAGTATTCTGTTACGCATCAAATATGTAGGTTCCAACTATTCATTTCAGAATTGAGGAAATAATTCAAGGAAACAATTGCCTCACTAAACCTACTTTAGAATCAGACCAAGAATTCATTTACCAGATAACTGCTACAAATCTTTACTCTGGGTGGAAAAACTGTAGTAGTAACCAAAAATCAAAAAATCAGCTCCCATTTGGAGTCTATATCTAAGAAACTCTACCTGGCTATTAGACTAGCCATTATTATAGTCAAGTTGGTTTTCTGCTGAGTAGATCTCAGCAGACATAGAACAATTTTTGGTACGTAAGTCAAGCAGTACTTTTGGAAGCTGAAATTCTATTTAATATTTAGGAACCCTGAGATCATTTAGTTATTCTCACAAATCACTGTGCTTAAAAAACATCTAATTTAATTTATGTGAATGTAACTTTATTGTGGTAATTATAACCATGCTGTCCCTGATGGTTAATTATTGCCAACTTGCTTCTACATCTTTAGATCTTATTACGCCAATGACATCAGGCTATGTGTGTCCAGTGTATTATCACTCTTAGTCATCTCCAATATACAAAGCTCTTGAAGGTCAAAACGCTCTTCTTAATATTTGGTAATGGAAGGCCCGGTTGGGAGATATTCTTAGGAACAGCTGAGCAACACGCACATAATAGACTAGCTTTAACATTTCAATATTAACTCTTCAGACTCCATTCTCTTCAACATACAATGAAATTCCAGCATTTTCATGTTATTAATTAATGTTTTTTAGTACAGCTATCAAGAGCACAACTAGTAGATTATTATTGCTCTCTGTCAATCCAGTCAATACTTTAATGCTCAAATGCTGTACTCTATTTTTAATACATTTGACCAAATCAAGTTTTTATTATGTCTTCTTTGATGTGTCGTACTAGAATCACTTCCAAAAATGCTTCCCAGGCTTATAAGTCTTTCAATGTCAAGGCAATTTTCTCATGGCTCAAGACTTGCACTTCTCCATCAGAGATTTGTTGTGTTTGACTCTCATTAGGGACTTGAAGGAATGAAAGGCCATGTGGGCACATCTAAGTATATTTGACCTCTGTTTCTGAGAAAACTTTCTGAATGTAGCCATTAAAATGTTTGCATTCAGAGATCATATCCTGGATAGGGGTAGGAGCATAGGAAATTCAGGAAAATGTAGAGTTTCAAGGTTCTTAAACTTACCAATATCTTTCCCCAAATTCTCATCCCTTCTCTTGGTGGGGGATCCTGCTTTTGTCCCCATGAGAGTAAAGTAAGTACTTTAGCATAAAATGTCTAAAATGAGAGAGCATTCAATTTTGTGCTGAAGGTCTGCAAGGTGTATATTGTTTCTCATATTAAAGGTCCTTCCCTGTTATTACAGAAGCTGAGAGAACTTTTTAAAACTTCCTTTTCTAGGTGCATGCTTCACTGGATATTGATAATCTTTCTTTTCTCTGTGTTCTCTAGAGCTGTACAAAGAAAGGTGATTCTAAAATCTTTATAATCAATCTAGTTGCTATAGTAACTAAATACCACAACCACTTTCTCTCTGAATATTATACTTTCTACCTATAATTCATCCTATGTTACTACTGGTGACAATATGAGAAATTGTTGTACCCCTTTTGCTATGGATTAGTCCTATGTGTCAAGAATTTGGCTTGAACATGCTTTGCCTTGAAAATTTGAGCCAACCAACCCTAGAATCTCATTATGAGTTCATATTTTCTGGGATAATTCTAATGTAAATTATTATCAAAGCCACAACTAGATAAATATAATATAATCAAATTAAGATAATTAGAACATTTACAAAAACTATTTTATGAAGGTATAGGTTAGATAAAACAAACCATAATGATTAGCACAGGAACCCTAAGCTGGAAGAGGTGGATTATCACTGCCTGCAAGTCTGAAGGAACAAGGGAAAGGGGAGGTTACTAGAATTCATAGCAAGTCAGTAAAATGAAGTAAGCTAACTTGAGAGAAGCAATGATCTTCTGTCCAAGTGACACAGTAAATCCAAGTTAGCCTCACAAGAGAAATTAATGAAATAAAAAATGGTACAAAAAAGAAAGAGGTCACAGGAGCCCCCTCATATTTCTAGTCATAATGGTCTTCTTCTGAGGCAGAAAGCAAGAAGGGTAAAGGTGGATGGTGGATCCAGAAGACAGAAAGGATTCAGGATGGCTTTATAATACTTTTATTCAAAATAAAATAAATATAAACGGATCTGTCTGTAGAATGATTTAGATCCTATGTGAAATTTAGGGAGCTAGAGTTAATTGTGCTTGAGATAAGAGGGAATGATCATATTTTCCATAGGCCATATGGGATATCATTACACACACACACACCCATACACATATATGTAAAAATAAAAACATATGTATGTATGTGTACATATATTATTTATTTATTCATAAAGAAAAGACATATTTTCAGCACCCATTGCCCAGGATTAGGACCCAAAGAGGTAACATTATTTGTTCTACCCAGGAGGCCAACCTTATCACAAAATTAAAGGTAAGATCACAATGTTTCTCTAAACCTATTTCCACAGCTAATCAATTCGTATTAATGAGCAACAATGATCAGAGGCAGACAGTTGGCTAAAAACATGTTCTTTTTGAGACAAATAACATAAATTTAGGGAATGTGGGAAATGTTTAAGTAAACATGCATTCTACTTTTAGAGCTTCTATATCTCTTCCCTATGGAGTATCATTCTCTTATTCTCTCTCAGGACTCCACTCTTTTAAAGCATTTTTAGTTATCAGAGTCTGTTAAATACTACTGGTTTGCATGTTGAGACAAACAAATACATAAAAGGCTGGCAATCATTTAAAATCCTTGTACTCTTTAGGCTTAGTACTATAAGTCCAGGATTACATTTTCAAGCAGAGAGACACTTATCCATTCAAAATACTTAATGAACAGCCATGAACTATTCATTTGTAACTCTTATTTAGAGTTTAAAAATAATTAGATCTGTCTCAATATAGTAACAAAGCATGCATTTATTTATTCTGGTGATTGTCTTATTAATTAACTTAAAATATTAGCTGAATATATACTTAGTATCACACACTCTTCTTGGCAATGATGAAATAATAGTGACAAAAACAATAAAAATCATTGCCTTTGAGAAGCATACATTTTCATGGTTACCTGTATTCTACTGAAATGCAAGATAATCTGATATTAAAATAGCTACACATACGTTGTGAGTTGGGGCACTTCACATGAAGAAAGTATGCAAACAAACTACTGGGCAATGGAGAGTAATGGAGAGGAGGCATCAATGGTGTAATGTGAAATGAAGCTTCTACCAAAAAGCACATAGAAATTATGGAAGCAACATTTAATAATAGAAAATAATTAGAAAATTACAGTAAAATGGTGTTTTAAAATATTCTTCTTGTCCACACTCAAATATTGACATTTTATGATTTACATTTTAAAATTCTATACATCTATATTATATATTTTTATAAATATATATTATTTCCTCAATTTCCTTCTTGTATCACTTGGACTTGTTTTGTCACTTGGAAAAAAGGTTACTCTTGCTCTCAAGGTAGCTTACTTCACACACACATATACATATATATGGATATATTAGATAGATAGAGAGATAGATACCAATTTATCCAATTATATGTGCAACAGAGATACAAACTTTGCAAACAAATGGCAAATGGACATCAGGATGTGAACAAAAGATACACAAATAGCAATATCAAAATTTCATCCTCAAGCCTTTACTTTCATAATCAAACTGAAAATTACTTTTTAATTAATTCTCACTCTTAAATAGTGAATATTTTACAGCTATTGTAGGTGCTTCCATTTGTAGCGCTGAATTTTCTGGGGGTCACTGAATATCCTCAGAACATTATGTTTATTTAAATAAGAAAATGCTGAATAAGCACTTAAATTTGTCTCTTCATTGAGATGATAATTTAAAGGTAGCAAACACTAATTGCACAGTTACTTGTGAGAAGCATTCTAAGTTATATTTTCAAAGCATTAGTTATTTCCTTGCTAAAATAATTCATCATGATGGTAAAAAAAAATGAGACTCTGAGAGTTAAGTAACTTACTTAAAATCTGACTTTCATTAAAGAGAGGTGGAAGACTGACTTAATTTTGATTCTGGTGCCTGTGCTCAGTCTTCTCAATCCCATCCATGTTTAGTGATACATTTTTTAAGGAAGCAAAAAAAAACTGTATACATTACTAGTAATAATTATAATTTTACATCTCACAAAACTGTACATTAAATGAGAGGAGAAATGACTATTGAGCTCACAAAGCTTTGAACAGTACTTTGTATATATTACTGAGCAATTTAAATCAAAGCTATTTATTGAAATGACACTCCAATACACATTGCAGTGTTATACCAATGTGAATAATACAAAGTTACATTTAGAATGAAATTGAGTGTGTGTGTGTGTGTGTGTGTGTACATGTAAATGATACACAGTTGCACTCAGAAGACCTGAGTTGAAGCTATGTAAGTTCATGTAAGTTGAAGCCCTTATAAGCTTCAAATTACATGAACTTGGTTGAACAAAAATGTTTTTTACTTTAGCAATAAAATAATAGCAATAAATCATTTAAGAGTGTAGTTGACTAGAGCAAAATGGGATAATGGGAACAAAAGCGGTTGATAAAATGTGAATTAATCTATATTTTTGGTCTAATTATTTCTATATCTGTTTTAAAAATTAAAAAATAGATGTTATCCAGGGAATTATCCCAAAGGTGACAAGAGTTGTAATTGTTAGGAACAAAGGGCCGTTGAAAAAGGAGTTGGAAGAGTCTCTCTGTAGGGAATTTTCAGCAGTGCTAGAAGATAACATCTGTCTAATATTCAGAAGAGTCACAGAGCCTGGCAGAGATTAGCAAAATGAATGAGTTTGCTAATTAGCACTAATTAACCTGTTTGGGTGGAAAATTTGGTTTAATTCAGCGGATCTACCACATGCTGATATCAGGATGAATTTTAACACTAAGTATGACTTTTGCTAATTTAATTGATCAAAGTTTGAATCTCTAAGCATTTATTTGATCATATTTATACAGATTCAATAACTAGCTACAGATCTAAAAAATCAGGAAAAATAATGTTATTGTTGCTGTAGTTATTGTCAATACACATTGTAAAAACATTTATTTTTACAATTTATAGCGACTACTAAAATGCAATTCAAATAATTCCTGGAAAAATGAAAGTTGTTGGTAATTCTATCCTCACAGATATAAATCGTACTAGCAATTAAATACATGTATCCAGGTGTATTAATTTTATACGCTTAATGCAATGCAACTGTGTTACAAAGTAAATCATCTACTTAGCTTTGTGAGGTTTTTTAATTATAAAATATACACTGAATGGCAGTTTTAAAGTACCCATAATTCAATATCTTAATATAAAATGTACATTAAGAGCTTGTCTCAGTTCATGTGGGCAACTATAATAAAGCTATAATACCTTAGACTAGGTATTATATAAATAATAGAAACTTCTTTATCACAGTCTTGGATGCTGGGGAGTCCATGATCAAGGCACCAGTAGATGTAGTGAAGCCTCACTGTCTGCATCATAGGTAGTGCTTTGTTGCTGTGTCCTCATTTGGTAGAAGGGCAAAAAGCAGCCAAATACATTCCCTCAACCCCTTTTATAAGAACAGAGCCTCATGACTTTATCATCTCCTCAAAGTGGTACTTTATAATACTATTGCATTGGGGATTAAATTTCTATATGAATTTTGGAGTAACCCAAATATTCAATCCATTGCACTACTCTTGCAGGTAAGTACAAGCAGAAATTATTATATTCATATGTCCTTCCTCAATTTTCTCTAAATTTATAGCAAACTACACTGATTGGTTTAAAACCAGAAACCATCCATACTTCAAAAGTTTTAATTTGATCTTGTGCAAACATATGTGGGAATATTACCATACATCTCACAGAAAAAAAAATTTACTTTCCTTTTTAAAAACTTTTAAATTCAGGGGTACATGTGCAGGTTTTTTATATAGGTAAACCTGTGTCATGGGGGTTTGTTGTACAGATTATTTCATTACCCCAGGTATTAAGCCTAGTAACCATTAGTTATTTTTCCTGATCCTCTCCCTCCTCCCACCCTTCACCCTCCAAAAGGCCCAGTGTGTTGTTCCCCTCTATGTGTTTGTGTGTTCTCATCATTTAGCTCCCACCTGTAAGTGAGAATATGCAGTATTTGGTTTTTTGTTCCCATGTTCATTTGCTGAGGATAATGGCCTCCAGTTCCATCCATGTTCCCACAAAAGACACGATCTCATTTTTTTATGGCTGCATAGTATCCCATGGTGTATATGTACCACACTTTTCTTTTCCTCTACCATTAAGGGGCATTTAGACTGCTTCTATCTTCTTGCTATTGTAAATAGTGCTGCAATGAAAATTTGTGTGTATGTATCTTTATGGTAGAGTGATTATATTCCTCTGGGTATATACCCAGTAATGGGCTTGCTGGGTGGACTGGTAGTTCTGGTTTTAGGTCTTTGAGGAATTGCCACACTGCCTCCCACAATGATTCAACTAATTTACAATCCCACCAACAGTGTGTAAGTATTCCCTTTTCTACACAGCCTCACCAGCACCTGATATTTTTTTGACTTTTTAATAATAGCCATTCTGACTCGTGTAGATGGTATCTCATTGTGCTTTTGATTGGCATTTCTGGAATGATCTGTGATGTTGAGCTTTTTTTCATATGCTTTTTGGCCTCAATCTTTATTCTGCAAGGGAGGTATAACTCAAACTCATTGTTTAGAGCTTTTATCATTTGTTATTCCTCAGGATTATAAACTTGTTAGGGATGCAAGCAGTCTTTGTTTATAAAGACACCAAGTATCCTTCCTTTCATCCTTTGGGTTTGGATTTTTTTTTCTATTTTGATAGAAATAGGGTGCATAGAAAACATTCTGTAGATGACATGTCAGTCTGCGACAATGGAAACTTAAATTGCTGAGGGTCTTAAGGTATAGCAAAAAATATATTTTTTTACATCTTGCTGCCATCCCAAGATGGTATGAGGAAACTGGGTTTTAGGTCCCTTCTGTTTGTAGTATCTTCTTACTTGAATTCTCAACAAGTCACATTAGCTGTAAGAGAGAACTTACTGTAATTGGGAAGAATAGTTAAGTTAGGGAAACTAAGATAGTGACCTTAAGAACAGAGGAAAGTAGGCTTGCTCCTTCCTCCCTCCCTCCTTCCCTCCTTCCTCCCTCCCTCCCTCCTTCCTTCCTTCTTTCCTTCCTTCCTTCCTTCTTTCCTTCCTTCCTTCCCCCCTTCCTTTCTCCCTTCCTCCCTCCCTCCCTTCCTTCTTTCCTTCCTTCCTTCCTTCTCTCCTTCCTTTCTTGTTTCAAAACATTTACTCTGACATAACAGGAGATTAAGCTAATACAATTGAGAAGGATAGTCACCCCTACTTCATAACTTTTACTCCAAGTTGCGAAAAATTCCCTCTGTCTTCAAGAAGATAATATTTTAAAATTCTGAGAAAGTCAAGAGTATGGATATCTCCTGATCCCAGCTATGAATTGTCCATATTTTGCTCTCTGATTTATATTCCCAAGAGATTAATAGTGGAAAATACTTTAATACTTTACTAATACCCTCTAATACTTTAGATCAACGTCACAGTTTTCCAAAGAGAAGGCATAAACGAGAATGTTAATAATTAACTAGCTTCCTATACTTGCCTCTCTTATGCCACAAAGCTACATCAAATGTTTGTGTTATTTCATACTTAATGATATAGAATACCCTAAAGTGCAGTTATCAATAATTAATATGTTGTAGAATTCCATGATATTTTCACAAGATTATATCCAAATGTTCTTTATTTTTATAACTAAAATATAGTAGGGTCCCCAGTTTCGTTTTGTATTTTATGACAACAACTAACTGCAGCATTTTGAGTCCATTCTTCTCTTTATTGATAAGTTTTTTTTCCCTTCACTGGACAAACTCCCACTTAATTTCAAAATTATAGATGTCTTTGGGTAGAAGGTATAGTTGACTAAGAAATAAAAATCAGCAGAAATGATTAAGTGCATTCCTAAACTTAAACTATAATTTATTACCTTTGAGATATATAGACTTATTTAAATTAGAACCTGATAAAGTGATTAATCTCTACTCTGTCAAACTGCCAAATAATAAATAATAGTGCTCCTATATTTTTTTGGGGGGTACAAGGAGCCATTTAATTTCCTGTTTGAACTTTCTAGATGTCCAGGAGCAAATCAAGAATTTTTAACCTAGAAGCTGGAGCCAATTAAATAAATTTGAATTTCTCAGCGGCTGACTCAAACTCCATCATGTGGTATGAATCACATCCAGCCAAATGTCATCTTATGTCTACACTTACTCACTCCCTAAGCGGTGACACTATTCCAGTCTCACAGATTTGTTTTCCTGCAATACATATTTTGAAAAGTCTAAATAGGTGTTGTAATTTGTATTTGTTTTTAAGTGTGTTGGTTTTTAACCATACTCATCAACTTGGTAGCTAATTTCCTGTGGCTTTTCCTATATTTGATGATATTGCTGTTCTTTCCCTTGGTTTTGCTATTAACTGGGAGGAGTTGTGACTAAGTTAGACACAGCAGAATTTGTGTTTATAGTATTCTCATAAACTTCAGCATGGACAAATACAGTGCTTTCTTTTTGTCTTTTATGTATCACAACATTTTTTCAATAATTTCCTGATTTATTCACATATTACGGAATAGAATGCTTGTGTATACATTTTGACATAAGTGGGTGTCTGAAATTACTGTATTGACAAATAAAACACTTTAACTCTCTTTACACAATTTAAAGAATAAAGTATACATTTCAATTCAAAAATGTAATTCAGAAAAAAGTTTCTATACCAGTTTAGTTTCTATTTATAGAACGAAATATTTACATTTTTAATAACACTTTCTTTGCATGGATCTACTTAATATTTCTGGAAGGCAAAATATGTCCATTTTATGATGTAAATTTCAGTATCTGGTAAGAGTAGGTATACAAAGAAAACTATTTTTAAATAAGCATGTATGCATGCACATTTTTACTACAATTTTACATTTACGTTTCAGTACTTGTTTTCGTTTAGAAATGTCAGGGGGTTTTTTTGTTTGTTTGTTTGGTTGGTTGGTTGTTTTAGACAGAGTTTCCCTCTTTTGCCCAGGCTGAAGTGCAGTGGTATGATCTCGGCTCACTGCAACCTCTGCCTTCTGGTTTCAAGTGATTCTCCTGCCTCAGCTTCCCCAATAGCTGGGCTTACAGGCACCAGCCACCACGCTTGGCTAATTTTTGTATTTTTAGTAGAGACGGGGTTTCACCATGTTGGCCAGGCTGGTCTTGAACTCCTGACCTCGTGATCCACCTGCCTCAGCCTCCCAAAGTGCTAGGATTACAGGCATGAGCCACCTCCCCCGGCCTGTTTTTCTTAATACTATATTATTTGTTGACATTAGACAACTAAAGAAAGCAATAATTTTTCCTCATTTGAACATTTCAGAAGTAATTAACATTTTTTAATATAATTGTTTTTGATGTTTAAAAAAAGCTTCACAAGGTGGTTTTCTCTTACAATTGCTACCATGTTTCAATTTTACAAGAAATATAAGTTGTTTCTTACAATATTTTTCACAATTTCTAAATAAAGTAAGTACATTATATACTTATGCTTTGCTTTTTTAAAAAAGGAGTTCTCTAAAACAAGCAGAATTTGTTGTCACCTTTTCTTGGGGCTCCACAATAATAACGTTTTATTTGTTAAGTAGTAATATATGCAGATTTTAGAATTTATAAGAAACTTTGGTTGCTCCTCTGCCGAGAAACTTTGTAACTACCCACCTTAGTTACATTTTAAATATTCTGTATTTTACATGTCTGACTTAACCTCTTTTTTGTCTTGTTTTATAGATGGCGTTTTGACTCGTTATTTTAATAAATTTTTATGTTATTCTATAGCAAACACTCTTATTTCCACTTGTATCCACCATCTAGATCAATAAGTAGCATGTACCATCAACTTTAGAATCCATTTTGATTTTTTTCATATCCCTTCCTCCCCTCATAAACAAATTTGTTATTTGCATTTGTATAGTTTTAAATTTCTCAGGTATTATTACAATTAGGCAGTATAGTTTTGCCTATTTTCTTGAGATAGGTATTTTAAGTTCCTTTTAATCGGTAGCACTCCAGTCTCCTTTTTTTTAAAAAAAATCTATCTGCTAATGATTTTAGGACATTTGAATTATAGTATTCTCTGAACTCTGAATTTTGCTGATTCTATTTATTGGTGCAGCTCAACATATTTCTTATTTTTCTCTATTTCCTGGCAAACTGGCACCTCCATCCAGAGAATGAATCAATCTTAAGTTTAGTATCCTTTGCAAGACTCAAACTTTGACTATACATAGCCATGTGATACATAGTATATGCATATGTATATGTATCACATACATATGTGATGTATATGCATATGTATATGTATCACATACATATATGATGTATGTGGCTCACATACGTATATGATACATAGTAGGACAACAAAAGACAAATGATGTCTAATTTTCTCCAATCTGTGATGTTAGGAGCCATTGATGCTTAATACTTATTTTAATTGATTAATATGTAGTTTATATCTATCTAATGTATTCACTGTGGTGGTGTTATGATTTTATAATTTTTTTATCCATTTACTAGTTGAGATTTTTCTAATAAAGGTATGCTTCCCTCATGTATAATTTTGTTTCAGGTGTTATTTGGTACAGTTTATGCAGGAAAGTCAAGACAAATGCTTGCCCTTTATTCTGTTTATTAGTTTCCAAGATACTGATTTGCTATCATTTCCTGAAGGTGACTACATAATTTAAAATATTTTTACAAACTCATTATTTAAATGTATTATATTATTTCTAATCCATTATAATTATTATCAAAATTAAAGCTCAAAACTTTGCATCTCTACCTAGTGGAAACCTCGGTACCTTCAACATATCCCTAGATGCCTGGAAAATATCTCTTGAAATATGATACAACATCATCTTGTATATTATCTTCTTAATACCTGAAATAAGCTATTTTCCTAAGATGGCTGAAATCTTCTAGTGAGGAAAGTCACTGCAAGACTACAATCTTGAGCATGGATGCTCATTGTTGGTGGGCAACCATTTCTAGGACTTTTTGAGACAACTCATTGATTCAAATTGATGTTCAAATCAAGTTGAAGACAACAAGACTTTCATTAAAACATATTCTTGTATTCTTGATACATCTGTATCTCTTTTGTTTCATACCAACATTCCTGATCCTTCGGGATACAGAGAATAATAAAAGTAGATCATTCTATGATTACATACTATTTTTTTTCTACCTTTCAGTGCCCATTTCCACAGCAGGCAAAGGACCTGTGTGAAAGTTTCTCTAATTCATTTTGATTGTTTAAATTTTATCATTAGTAGATTCCTCCAGAAGGGCCCATGCATAAAATCAAAGTTTTTGCTTTTTGATTGAATTGGTTGAAAGTCAGTTTTGCTGGATATATAATCATTGCCTTATACAGTTGTTCTACCATAAAGTAGGGGGTACATGAGCAGGTTTGTTACATGGATATATTGCATTAAGGGTAAGGTATGGATAGTTTTGAAATTAATCCAATTTTTATTTCTCTTATAAATATCATGCTTTTAACTTTATTTCATTTTGTGATGCCCAAATAATTATTTTTTCTTTAAACTTCTGAAATGTCCCGAATTGGTATTCTCAGTTGTGTGGTGTGCCATTTCAGTAATATTTTCAAAATTTTCAGGGAGTTTCCTTGAATTATAATTTTTAGTATCTTTTCTATTTCCTTCAATTTTCTTCTTTAGAGAATTGCATTATCTGTAAGTTACAGGTTAGCTATATGATATTGTTATCCTTAATATTTGGCACTTTCTCTTAACTAATTTTTATCTTGCACATTTTCTTTTTTTAAAGGAAGTCTTTCTTGTTTTATCTTTCAAATTAAAGGTGTATTATCAGTTTAGAATGTGTTTTATGTACAATTTGTGTGCAGTGTTATGTAGAGCTCAAGGTTACTTTTTTCCTACATAAAATGGAATACTAAACAGCAATGAGAATGAATGATCTAAAACATGAATGAATTTCAACAACAAAAAAAATTAAGTAATGGAAGACAAACGCAAAACACATTCTGTAGGATTCCACCTACATAAAATATAAAAATATACAAAACTAATTTATACTGTTAAAAGTAGAGACAATGATTATTCTTGAGAGTTGGCTACCAAGGATTAATAAGGGGCCCTTATGTATACTTTTAGAGTCATTTCTGATCTGAGTGACGCTTACATGGGTCTGTTAATCAGTGAAAATAAATCAAGTTTAAGTGTATGATTTATGCACTTTACTGCATAAAATTTATACTATGGCTATGCAATTTTGCACCTTAACATTGTACAAAGTGCAAAACCTACATTATCTTAAGTAGCCCTTGCACTGAATGCCTGATAGTAGTATATCTATGCAATTTTTTTTGATTAGTGTCAAATTTCAGTACGTTTTCCTTTATTTTTACTTTCACCTTTTTAATGCTTATATGCTCTTATGAGCATATTGTTTTTTATGCCAGTATCACAGAATATTTTACGATTTCTCTTGAAAGTACTCAGTTGATATATAACATGTTCATTAAATTGATTTTGGCTTGTATGAACTGATTTAGTATCTGTGTTCTAATTATTTCACCTGTTTTATGTTCCTCTATGTCGTTTCTTTTCTTCCTTTGACTTAAGAATTTTAATTACCCCCTTCTTAAAGTGGTTGAATGATTCTTCCCAATCTGTAACTTCTAAATGAGTATGGTAATCACACATAATGATAATGTTCTTCTTGAACATAGAAACTGTACCTTGTGTTTGCAGGAAGGATTGAGAGGAACAACTTTTTTTTCTGAGCAAAAGCAAGAACTCTATCCCATCCAGTAATTTTTCGCCCTTATGCTACATTTTAAATCTGATTGCAATCAATTCTTTCCGATATTTATTTTCCTTTTTCAACTCATCTTCTGTTATAACATCTTCTGTTGTATTAGTTAATTTTTGTGTTACTTTTCCCTTGTTTCTGTAATAATGTTTTATCCTTTGTTAAGAAAATATTATAGATTCAGGGGGTACATGAGCAAGTTTGTTACATGGATATATTGTGTTGAGGGTAAGGTTTGGGCTTCTAGTGTGCCCATCATCCAAATAGTGAACACTGCACCTAATAGGTAATTTTTCCAGTCTCGTACACCTCCCACCCTCCGACCTTTTGGAGACGAAAGTTTCTATTATTTCCGTCTTTATGCCCATGTGTACATATTGTTTAGCTCTCAGTCATTAGTGAAAACTTGAGGTATTTGATTTTCTGTTTCTGAGTTAATTCACTTAAGATAATGGCTTCCAGCTTCATCCATGTTGCCACAAAATACATCATTTCATTCTTTCGTGGCTGTATAGTATTCCATGATGTGTGTATACCACATTTTCTTTATTTAGTCCTCTGTTGATGAGCATTTAGGTTGATTTCATGATTTTGCTATTGTGCATAGTGCGGCAATAAACATACAGGTGCAGATTTTTTAATATAATGATTTCTTTTCTTCTGGTAGATAGCCAGTTGTGGGGTTGCTTGGACAAATGGTAGTTCTGCTTTTTGTTCTTTGAGAAATCCCCATTTTTTTTTTCCATAAATGTTGTACTAATTTACATTCCCACCAACAGTGAATAAACATTCCCTTTTCTCCACAACCTGCCAACATCTGTTGTTTCATTGACTTTTTAATATTAGTCATTCTGACTAGTATGAGATTTGATATTTTTTAAATTTTTAATATTTCTGGCTATGTAGATATGTATATTTATGAGTTCCATGAGATATTTTGATACAAGCAGGCAGTGAGTAATAATCATATCAGGGTAAATGGGGTTTCCATCACCTTAAGTGTTCATCCTTTGTGTTACAAACACTCTAATTATACTCTTTTAGTTAGTTGAAAAGGTACAATTAAATTGTTATTGACTACATTCACTCTGTTGTACTATCAAATATTAGATCTTATTCATTCTTTCTAACTATTCTTTCTACCCATTAACCATCCCCACTTTCCCCCATCCTCTCCAGTGCATTTCTCTGATGATTAGTGATGTTGAACATTTTTTTGTATGTTTGCTGGACACTTGTATTATGTCTCCTTTGAGAAACATCTGTTCATATCCTTTGCAAAATTTTAATGAAGTTGTTTTTTTTCTTGTCGACTTGAATTTCTTATAGATTCTGAATATTTGTCTTTTATCAGATGCATTTTTGCAAATATTTTCTTCTGTAGGCGGTCTGTTTACTCTGTTGATCATTTCTTTTGCTTTGCAGAAGCTTTTTATTTTAATCTGTTCCCACTTGTGTATTTTAATTTTTGTTGCATTTGCTTTTGCAGTCTTAGTCACAAATTCTATGCCAGGCTAATGTCCAGAAGAGTTTGTCCTATGTGTTCTTCTGGGGCTTTTATAGCTTCAGGTCTGACATTTAAGTCTTTAATCCATCTTGAGTTATTTTTTGTATATAGTGAGATGTAGGAGTCCAGTTTTATTCTTCTGCATATGGTGATCTGATTTCCCCAGCACCATTGATTAACCAGGATGTCCTTTCCTTATTGTTTATTTTTGTTGGCTTTGTCAAAGTTCAGTGGTTATAGGTATGTGGCTTTACTTGTGGTTTCTCTATTTTGTTCCATTGATCTATGTGTCTATTTTCTAGCAATGCCATGCTGTTTTGGTTACTCTTGTCATGTAGCATAATTTGAAGTCAGGTAATGTAATGCCTCCAGCTTTGTTCTTTTTACTTAGGACTGCTTTGGTTATTTGGGCTTCCTTTGGGTGCATATGAATTTTAGGATTATGTTTTCTAATTCTGTGAAAAATAATGTTGGCAATTTAATATGAATTGCATTGATCTATAGATTGTTTTGGGAAGTCTGATCATTTTATTAGTCTGTTTCACACTGCTGATAAAGACATTCTTGAGACTGGGCAATTTACAAAAAAAAAAAAAGGAGGTTTGATGGACTTACAGTTCTACATGGCTGGGGAGACCTCACAATCATGGCAGAAAGCAAAGAGGAGCAGATCACATCTTACATGGATGGCAGCAGGCAAAGATAAAGAGTTTGTGCAGGAGAACTCCTCTTTTTATAAAACCATCAAGCCTCGCGAGACTTATTCACTATCATGAGAACAGCATAGGGAAGACCTTCCCCCATGATTCAATTACCTCCCACCAGGTCCCTCCTGCAACACACGGAAATTGAAAATGAGATTTGGGTGGGGACACAGCCAAACCATGTCATTCCTGGTCCCTCCCAAATCTATGTCCTCACATTTCAAAACCACTCATGCCTTCCCAACAGTCCCCCCAACGTCTTAACTCATTTCAGTATTAACTCAAAAGTCCACAGTCCAAAGTTTCATCTTAGACGAGGCAAGTCCCTTCCACCTATGAGCTTGTAAAATCAAACACAAGTTAGTTACTTCCTAGATATAATGGGGGTACAGGCATTGGGTAAATACAGCCATTCCAAATGGGAGAAATTGGCCAAAACAAAGGGGCTACAGGCCCCTTGCAAGTCCAAAATCCAGTGGGGCAATCAAATCTTAAAGCTCCAGAATGATCTCCTTTGACTCCATGTCTCACATCCAGGTCACACTGATGCAAGAGGTGGTTCCCATGGTCTTGAGCAGCTCCATCCCAGTGGCTTTGCAGGGTACAGCCTCCCTCCTGGCTGCTTTTGGAGGCTGGCATTGAGTTTCTGCAGCTTTTCCAGGTGCACAATGCAAGCTGTTGGTGGATCTACCATTCCGGGGTCTGGAGGACAGAGGCACACTTCTCAGAGCTCCACTAGGCAGTGTCCCAATAGGGATTCTATGTGAGGACTCACATTCCACATTTCCATTCTGCACTGCCCTAGCAGAGTTTCTCCATGAGTGCCCTGCTCCTGCAGCAAACTTCTGCCTGGGCATCCAGGTGTTTCCATACATACTCTGAAATCTAGGCGGAGGTTCCCAAACCTCAATTCTTGACTTCTGTGCACTTGTAGACTCAACACATGTGGAAGCTGCCTAGGCTTGGGACTTGCACCCTCTGAAGCCACAGCCTGAGCTCTATGTTGGGCCCTTTCAGCCACAGCTGGAAGAGCTGGGATGCAGGGCACTAAGTCCCTACACTACACACAGCACAGGAATGCTGGGCCTAGCCCATGAAACAGTTTTTTTCCTCCTAGGCCTCTGGGCTTGTGATGGGAGGGGCTGCTATGAAAACCTCTGACATGCCCTGGAGACACTTTCCCCATTGTCTTGGCAATTAACATTCAGCTCCTCATTACGTATGCAAATTTATGCAGCCAGCTTGAATTTCTCCTCAGAAAATGGGATTTTATTTTCTGTAAAATTGTTAGGCTGCAAATTTTCCAAACTTTTATATTCTGCTTCCCTTATAAAACTAAATGTCTTTAACAGCACCCAAGTCACCTCTTGAATGCTTTGCTACCCAGAAACTTATCCTGCCAGAGACCCTAAATCATCTCTCTCAAGTTCAAAGTTCCACAAATCTCTAGGGCAGGGGCAAAATGCTGCCAGTCTCTTTGCTAAAACATACCAAGAGTCATCTTTGCCCCAGTTCCCAACAAGTTCCTCACCTCCATCTGAGAATATCTGAACCTGGATTTCGTTGTCCATTTCACTACCACCATTTTGGTCAAAGCCATTCAACAAGTCTCTAGGAAGTTCCAAACTTTCCCACATTCTCCTATCACGAGAACAGCACAGGAAAGATCTGACCCCATGATTCAATCATCTCCCACTGGGTCCTTCCCACAACATACGGCAATTCAAGGTGAGATTTGGGTGGGGACACAGCCAAACCATATCGATCATTTTAACAATAGTGACTCTCTCAATCGATCAGCATGGCATGTTATTTTATTTGTTTATGTAATCTATTATTTCTTTCATAATGTTTTGTAGTTCTCCTTGTACAGATCACACATCCTTGGTTAAATATATTCCTAGGTATTTTATTTCTTTAATGGCTATTGTAAATGAGACTACATTCTAATTTTTTTCTGATCTTTCTCCAAATATCTGAGTTATTGTGGCTCTGATTCAAGTTTTTTTTTTCTTCTTTTCCTTCATTCTCTTAAAGTCTATTAGTTGTTTTAAAATACTAGATTATGGTTGTGTTACTTTAATGGACACAATTTTCTGAGTTTATACCTGGAGAGATACTATTCTGTTCTCTATTCTTTCTGGTGTTTTAATACTAACTGTGGAATTTGAACTCAATAATATTCTCTTTTCTGTCTTCGTGTGAAATTAATTTTCCTAAACTTGAAAATGAGGCAGTTTTCAGGAGAGCTTTTTAACTTCCTAGAGTTCTATATTCTGTTGTTTCCAAGAAGTGTCCAAACATATGGCACCTTTTGTTTAATTTTTGGGATTTCCTGGTGTTATTATCCTCTGCTATTTTGGTCAAGAGGCTTCTCTTTTTTCTGTCTCTGTTGTCCATTTCCTACTCAATTTGAATGCATTTTCAGGGGAATCTTGTCAATATTTAGTCTTGTCTTAGAGTGGAGCACTGAGAGGAAAGGGATGGTAGTTCATCAGGATTAGTTAGCTAAAGCCACATCAAGTCATCTTACCATAGGCCCCGTGCACTAACTCACTACTGGAAAAGGTAAAACTTATCCCTGTTTCGGCTGCTGTTCTCCAACATACTTGTCTCATAAATATCTGTTGGTTATTTTGAATTATTTTGCCAAATCTGTCAGCTGCTGTTTTCTCCTGTACAAGTTTACAGATTTTGACACCAGGACTGGTATAATTTATGAGGCCTGGTGCAAAAATGAAAAATGTGAAAACTTTTGTTCAAAAATAATAAAGAATTAAAGTGATGGCAGAGCATTAAACCAATTCTGGGGCAAGAAAAAGTAACACGTCCTTTAAGCAACCTCTGTCTGATGTCATGTAGGTCTTATGTCTCTTGCTGGTTTGTCCTCACTCACTGGTGTTACATCTTTCATAGAAACATCATCAGTTAATTTTCTTTTAAGTTTTTCCCATGGAATTTAGTTTCATTATGTTTTGTCTTTTGTAATGTAAAAATTATTCTGGATTTAAAAACTATGCTCTGGTCCCTGTCATCTTCTCACACACCTTCTATTTAAAATAAATATATAAAATAAAGAACCCTGCTAAACAGATTTATTTAGTATTAAAGTCCTATTTACCCTAAAATTAAAATTGTCTATCAGATTTAAATGAATACTGGAACATTGTTCTTTTTACATTACCAAGTTTGCATTTTACTTTATGAAAAAATTGGTCCACCATTTTAAGAATTATCACTGCATCTAACAATATAAGTGTTTTAGTTTGGACTAATATACTACACATCTGTGTAACTGCACTTTAATAATTCATATCTTTAGCAAAAAAACATCAAATTTTTAGGAGCAGAACAAAATCGAACCTTATTTTTTGCTAAGATAACAGTTGAATGCAGTTAGTTTGCTCAGCAGTTTCAGTGGCTACAGTCAATAGAAACTATGAGGGGCCTAGGCTGATAGAGGACCTGCCTTCTCCAGTAAGTGTCTCACCAGATTGCCCTGGAAGGCTATAAAGCCAGAACAGGAAAGAACATAAAAAACTGAGTAATGAGTGTCACCTAGCGATGAGTGACACTTAGTAATGAGTGACACCTAGTGTCACCAAGACAGTCTGATGATTTCTGTCCAACTGCATGCCCACTCCCCACCAATTACATGGATTTAATGAAAATGTATTATTTTTCTAGGGCTGCCAGAACATATTACTACAGAGTGGCTTTAAAAACATAAATTTATTCTCTCACAATTCTGGAGGCTAGAAGTTTGAAATCAAGGGGTCACCAGGGTCATGTTCATGCCACAGGCTCTAGGGAAAATCCTTCCTTGCTTCTTCTAGCTTCTGATGGTGCCTGTAATTTTGGGCATTCCTTGGTTTGTGAAAGCATAACTCCAAACTCTGCCTCTGTCCTTACAAGGTCTTTTCTGTGAAACTCTCTATGTCCCTGTGTCTCCAAATCTCTCTTTCTTAAGGACACCAGTCATTGGAATCAGAGTCCACCCTAATCCAGTATGATATCATCTTTATTAAATCTGAAAAGTCCCTATTTATAAATAAAGTATCATTCAGAGGTACCGGGGATTAGGAACTAAACATTATCATTTGTGGAGGACACAATTCAACCCACACCAGTCAGATAATCTCTGCCACATTCAGTTGTGACTTCAACTTTAAGATCTTTTCTCATGAATAACATAAACTCTTTTCAATTTAAAAAGAGAAAACAAAGATATTACTTGAATAACACCCTAAAATATTTTTAGTTGTAGATATTATCTTCAATATATTGAAGTTGTGATTTTATCTTTTTATAAAGACCATGTTGACACATTTTGTAATCTCATGATGTCTAAAGAGTAATGTGATAAGCTATTTTCCCTGTCCATTAATATCCTGCCAACAGAATATGAATATTACAAAAGTTGAAAATTAAAAGAGAAATCGATAGAAGCAGTATTTGTTCACTTATAAAATGGTATCACCAAATGACATCTTGAAGTCTAGCATCACACTTCTGAGTTGAGTACTCTGAGTTTGAAAAAATTAGTTTTAAATTTTTGGTAAACAATATCCAAGTATTATGCTGGATATTTGAGGAATAGCATTCCTGAAAATGATACCACTTGGCAGCTGCTCACCAGATAATGCCTTTTTCTTTTGGTCTTTGAATAAACCCTTAATAACATGACATCATACTTACAGTATGCAGGCTTTACTTACCCTCCAGGTTAACTGGGTTAATCTTTTGTCATTACTTTTTAAACAAAATATATTATCTTTTTCTTGCTAGTTATAGAGCAATTACCAGATGAAAAATAAAAAAGCGGTTATTAATATGGGTTTTAGGAATAGTTCTCAAGTGGCCTATAAACAGATACAGTAACATTTAAATAAAACAATTTCTAAAATCTCAATTTCTGTATACTTTGTATATTATACATTATATGTTAAAATGGATACGGCAGAGAATAAATTTGTATTTAAGGCTCTATATGGCCTCTTTTCCCACTTTGTACAAATAAGCATCTGCTGTTTTCCAAAACAAAATTATCAACTATTCTGAATCTCAGTGAAATACATTGTACCTAGCAGAGGACAAATAACATTTTGCTACTGGTTGTAATATTTAAAAAGTTACACATTAATTGACTAAGTAAACCCCCTGTTTGTACTTCATGTGTTTTCCAGTTACTTGCTTTCGAAAATCCTGAAGAAAGATATAATTAAGTTGTAAAATAATGAATAATTTAAAAAAAGTATTGACTGTATGATTTTTGCCCAGAATTTGAGAGTTTAAGGAAACAACTGTCATTGTTATAGCAAAACATATTCTATTCTTATGATCTTATTTATTTGAGCAAATGTTTTCGGAGTTTGTACTTATTAATACTGAAAATGAAGTATTAAGTGTATCCTAAAAAACTGTTACATTCTAAAATTAAAAATATAGAGTCTGAAATTGACAAAATGTATAAATGAATAAAGCAAACCTCAAATTTCCACCTAATGTGGATGTGGGTTGCAAGTAAAAAACAGGAATATCTATTTTTATGTTGATTTTACAGTCTGCATCAATATAATCTGGTCTGGATTTGTCTTCTGTAAAGGTGAGATCATACTAATATTACTGGACTTCCATGAAAATGATGGAGTAAAAACTCCACCACTCCATAAAAGCAATTTAAAAACAGTCAAAAATCAGTTAGAATCAAGTTTTTAGAGCACTAGAAACTAACCAAGAGTATGGAGTCAGCGTAGCAGCACTTTTTAAAGAAAAGAGTTGAATTTTGGTTTTAAAAAAACAGCCAGTGGTATGGTATTTTAACTTACCAAAGTCCCATTTTCCACTCTCCAGCTCAGTAGTAGCTGTGAAGAAACAGCCTGCACTTCTAGCAGCAGTATTAGATGAAACATAATGGACTTCATTTTTAAAGAATTGCCACTTTTGTTTTCACCTGTCTGGTGACTCCTTGGAAGTCACATCATGGAATGTGGAAGTCAGATCCATGGAAGTCACTGCTTCCTAGGAACTTGCATCCTCTGAAGCCACAGCCCGAGCTTCATGTTGGGCCCTTTCAGCCACAGCTGGAATGGCTGGGATGCAGGGCACTAAGTCCCTACACTACACACAGCACAGGGATACTGGGCCTGGTCATGAAACAATTTTTTCCTGCTAGGCCTCTGGGCCTAGGATAATTAAGCTGCTACCCAGTGGGTATTTGAAGAAAACATATGTAGGCAAACGCTTTAGTCAGAGCTGTCTAATGCAAAGGATTACAGTTGTGGCAAACAAGAGAATAAACAAAATGCTTAAGAGGAGAGGTTGAAGAATGAGATGCTTTAGGGAATAAGGGCTTTGAGAAGATCTGACATATTCTAGAGAATTTATAAGGCCAAGTGCATGCCCAGAATTCTGCACATACTCAGAAGACACCAGAGGAAGCATTAATGTCTAACTACTTCTCCTCCTCCTCCTCCTCCTCCTCTTCCTCTTCCTCCTCCTCCTTCTCCTCCTCCTTCTTCTTCTTCTTTACCTTGAGGGTATGTGAAAGTGGGAAATAAAGATAAGGTGAAGCTCTAAATGTTGTGGCTTCATGCTGGAGGCATTTCCAACATACCACAGTCACTCTGCAGAAGTGGGGAGATTTTACTGTTGTGCCAAACACTAAAGGAAATTTCTGTCCAATCATTAGATGACCAGTAAGCTGATGGAAAAAAAAGGTATCTGTAACTGCATGCAACACAGAATATATCCCAGGCCACTAGGCAGTGGGTTAAAATATTCAATTTTCATAAAGAAAAATACCCACAAAATTTCAACTAATAATTCTGTATCTGGCAAAAACTTCTTTTCAAAAATGGAGGAGATAATCCTCATCCCTTTGAATATGGGTGTAACCTGTGAATATAATGAGATATTACTAGTGTGATTAGGTTACACTGTGTAATACAGTTGACTTTAAAAAAGGGAAATTATTGAGGTGTGCCTATCCTAATCACCAACAACACAGGTAACATGATCCCACAGCTACAAGGAACTGAATTCTCTCAACATTCCAAATGATCTGACAAGTGATCTTGCCAGTGTAGAACCTCCAGATAATGGCACAATCACTCAATGTCTTGATTTCAGCATTATGAATTTCTGAACAGAGAACACAATTAAAACATGTTAGACTCCTGACACAAGGGAAATGTGAGATAATAAACGTGTGTTGTCTTGAGCTGCTAAGTTTGTGTTTTTTGTTGTTGGTGCTGTTACACAGCAATAGAAAACTAAAACACCTTGTTTTATGCCTTCTTGTGATTAGTCATTAGAACTGATAGAGCCCTTAGTCCACTGATCTCCAAGGCATTTATTCCTCATGTGACACTTTGACCCAAGCGTGGACAGAAGACCATCCTTGGTTCATTCACGTTGAGACTATTTGGAATATATTTCTTTTCTTTTTTATGTATTTATCTTTAGGGAGGGTATTTTTAAATCTATTTAAGTTTGCAAATAGGTAATTTAGTTAAGCCTAGGTATCCATGGGTTTTGGTTCCAGGACCCCCTGTGGGATACCCAAATCCCTGGATGCTTAAGTGCCTTACATAAAATGGTGTTGTATTTGCTTATAACCTATATACATACTCCCCTACAATTTAAATTACCTCCAGATTACTTACAACACTTAGTTATACTGTATTATTTAGGGAATAATGACAATGAAAAAAAATGTTGGTACATGTTTAGCGCAGACACAGTCACCCTTTTATTTAACTTACCTGAATATATTTCACATGTAGTTGGTTGAATCCACGGATGAAGAACCCAAAATACAGAAGGCTGATTTTATATATATATATACATTGGTCAGAAATCAAAAAAATTGACAACATATATAGTGAGAACTTTCCCAGGCATTCTTACTCTCATCTGCACCATTCTAAGCTGTTTATTCTTCAAATAACAAATGCTTTTAGTTTCTCGTTATTCTTTTAGAGTTATTTTAAAATGTATACCTGTGAAAAAGACTATTAATTATTACCAATATTCATTCTCCTCTTCTTAAAAATTATTAGAATTTTGGCTGGGCGCGGTGGCTCACGCCTGTAATCCCAGCACTTTGGGAGGCCGAGGCGGGCGGATCACAAGGTCAGGAGATCGAGACCATCTTGGCTAACACGGTGAAACCCCGTCTCTACTAAAAATACAAAAAATTAGCCGGGCGCGGTGGCGGGCGCCTGTAGTCCCAGCTACTCGGGAGGCTGAGGCAGGAGAATGGTGTGGACCTGGGAGGCGGAGCTTGCAGTGAGCCGAGATTGCGCCACTGCAATCCGGCCTGGGCTAAACAGCGGGACTCCGTCTCAAAAAAAAAAAAAAAAAAAAATTAGAATTTTTTATTGGGCACAAGACTGTAAGGAGTAAAAACTACAGTCCTACATCTACATCACAGCTAGATGTAGCCATGTCAAACATAAGCAGAAGCATATGTGGCAGCTTCCAAGAATGTTCCCTGATATACACCCTTTGCCTCTTCTGTTTCTCCATACTGCTTTCTGGAAAGTAGATGGTAGCTTGGACCAGAGGACAAGGCCGTAATCTAAGGATGGGCTAGTGAGTTTGAAGTCAACTGGCTCCAGAAAGTCTCATAGAACACATGAAAAAGCCCTATCATTGTCTACCTGCCCCCAGACATTTATGGAGAGAAACAAACCTATGATTAAAAAAAGAGAAATTAAGACCTCCCTAGATAAGCAAAAACTGAGACAGTTTATCACTGAAAAACCTGTACTTCAAGATAAGCTAAATTGAATTATTTAGGGTGAAATTTAACTTTATGCTACATAAAGACTGCCAAATACAAAAGGTCATAGATTGTGTGATTCCATTTATATAAAATTTTAAGAATAGGCAAATTCATAGAGAAAGAGAGTATATTAGTGCTTTCCAGAGGATGAAGTGAGAGGAAAATTAGGAGTGCAGGATTTCTTTTTGGAGTGATGAAATAGCTCTAGAATTAGCAATTATGGGTGTGCAAGATTATATGAATATGGTATAAAAAATACTGAGTTACGTATTTTTAAATGTTTTAAATGGTAAATTTTATGATATGTAAATTGTTTAGTAAACTATAAACTGGCACTATTAACTTCCTTATCTATATCCAATGCCTATGCATGGCGTGTATATAAAGATAATACACACAAATCATTAATAAAAGAATCAATAATGTTCAAAATAACATATCTTTAACCATTGTAAATCTGGTAACTAGAATTTTCTGTAATGTAGGAATATTTATAGTGGAGATATTTCCTTACTTTCAATAACTGTTTCCTTCTTAAGGAAATTCATGGAAGGAGAGAAAAAAATGAAAAACATTTGATGACATCAGATTCTTCATTCATTGAAAACAAATTGTCTATTGACTTTTATGAGTCAAGAAATATTTCAGGACATTGGAATACATCAATAAACAGGTGTAGACCCTTGTCCTCAATAATATTATAAAGAACACAATAAGTGATGATAATATGAGACAACATGTAAGACGTAGAATGGAATAAACTGATAATTGCTCTGATATAAAAGGGAAAAATAAAATGTTTATGGATATTGGGAAAACTGGGTTGATAAATAAATTAGGCATGAGAGAAGCATGAAATTTTGGACGTTTCTTTGTTTCTGTGTGGTGTGGTGACTCACATAAGCCTCAAAAATGTCCTCTTCTGGCACACCTTATGTTCTCTTCCCCCAGGTCCTTGCTCAAGGATATTGACACCAATAACTAAATTCTAGTATATTAAGCTTGATATGTTGATGCCAGAATTGATTCTTTATTGTCTCTCTGCAGCCAAGTATTTACTATACCCTCTATATTATGTGTATAAATACCTGTTTCCTTTTATCTTATTCAAGTATCCGAAGTTGTGTAAGAGCATTCTAAAATGTCTTCCTGCCTCCAGGCTCAATGCTTGTTTTGTTTCTCTGTCTATATCTTGTAGTCAGATTGAATAAAAAAGGCAACTTTTATCTGTCTGTGTCTATTCAGTTAAAAAGCATCCAGTGGTTCTAAATCACCCAGATCAAGTTTTAAGTTGCTCCGCACAGCACCTGTGGCTGTACTTTATTTCCTGTAACAACATGTTTCAATCTCTCTCTCTTCCATTTACTTCGTGCTACAGCCACATCAAATCTTGTTCTATAATCTGTAACAAAGTCTCTCTGTCACGTTTTAATATCGGGATGTGTAGTTTTTCTTATACTTACTATGATTTATTTTTTCTCCATTTTTTCTTAGTAATTATAACTAAGGTCACATTCATTCATATGGAAGGGTCACTTTAAATATAAGTTGTAGCTAAAACCATTATATATTCCCATCTCAGTTTAAGAAGTAAAATGTAAAAACATAAATAAATAAACAAACAAATCTCCGAAGTTCTCCGTGTTTGGTTCCCTTGCCACAAACTTTCAACTCTCTCACTCAGGTAAAAACTATTTAAATGTTTTAAATAGTCTTGATATATATGTAACATCCCTATACAGTCTGGTCTGATGTTACTTATTGTTGAATAGTGTATAAATAAAAATCATATTGTATGTATCATTTTACAAAATGCCATTCTCACTCAATTATGCATTTGTGGGAGTCATCTGTGTTTTTACATGTAACTGCTGTTCATTTATTTTGTTATCTAATATTGAATCACCAGGAATAAGTCCACATTTATTCGTCTACTTAACCTTGATGAACAATTGAATTGCTTCTCTTTTTTTTGCTTATCATGAGCTGTGCTGATATCAATTTCTTTGTTAAATATATTGTAGAATCCTAGAGATATTTGCATATGTTTCTCTAGGTTATATACCTAGGAGTGGAGTTGCTGGGTTATAAAGTTTGTGTATAATTAAGGGTTTTCCAAAGTGGATGGACATGTCTACATTACAGACCACAATGAATAAAAGATCTCATTGTTTTCGCATTCCTACCAGAGTTGTTGTTAGCAGTCACTGAAACTTTCTACAGTCTGGATTTGTGATCGCGTTACACTGTGGTTTTTTAGCTGCTTTATTGATATATAATTTACATACTATACAATTAGGTCTTTTATACTATACAATTAAATGGTCTCTATTACAGATATGTGGAACCATCACCACAACTTAGAACATTTACTTCACATCAAAATAAACGTAGTACCTCTTAGCTATAATGCTCCTAATCCCCCAATAACCCTAAATTCAGCCCTAAGCAGCTACTAATCTATTTTCTGCCTTTATGGTTATCCCTATTCTGGACTTTTATGTGAATGCAATCATAGAATATGTGAGCTTTTGAGGCTTTTTTAAAAACGTACAATAATATTCTTAAAGTTTCTCCACACTTAAAGCATATTTTAGGACTTTATTATTTTTTGTGGCTAAATAATATTCTATATGACGGAGGTATCTCATTCACACATTCATGGGCATTTGGACCATTTCCACATTGTATATGGACAATGCTGCTATCAGTATTGATTTACAAGTTTTTGTAAGTATATATGATTTTATTTCTCTTGGGTATATATCTAGAAGTGAAATTTCTGGGTCATAAATAACTCTTTAATTGTTTGATGAACTGCTAGAGCTTTCCTCTACATGGCTACAACTATTTCATTCTCACCAACACCATATAAGGGTTCCAATTTTTCTACAGTTACACTAATGGAAATGATACCAAAACTAGTTATTATCATTCGTTTTAATTCTAATTATGATAGAAGGTGTAAAGTAGTATCTCATTGGGATTTTAATTTTCATTTCTCTAATAACTATGATGTTGAACATCTTTTCATGTTCATATTGGCAATTTGTTTATCCTCCTTGGAGGAATTTTTATTCAGAACTCTAATTTTCACTTGAGATATTTCTCTTTTTATTCTGAATTGAAAGATCTAAAGATCTTAGATCTGCATATTCTACATACAAGTCACTCATCAGATACATAATTTGCAAACATTTTTTCCATCCTGTGTACTATCTTTTACCTTTCATTTTTATTGATGCATAATAATTGTACATATTCAATAGGGGTATATATAATATTTTGAAACATGCATAAAATATGTAGTGATCAAATCAGAGTATTTTGGATATTTGTTTGTTTATCATTTTTGTTACAAACATTTTAAATCTTCTCTTCTAGTTATTTTGAAATAGACAGAAATTATTCTTAACTATAGTCATCCTTATTGCTATTGTATGCTAGAACATGTTATTGCAATCTAAATTTATTTTTGTACCCTTAACCAATCTTTCTTCATCCTCTCATCTTTCCTAGTCTCTAGCATCTGTCATTCTACTCCATCTTCATGGAATCTACTTATTTAGCTCCAACATATGAGTTATAACATGCAATATTTGTCTTTCTGGGTCTGGCTTATTTCACTTAACCTAAACACCTCCAGTTCCATTCATATTGCTGCAAATGAAGAGATTTCATTTTTATATACAGCATAATAGTATTCCATTGAGTATATCTAATTCATTTCCTTTATCCATTCATTCATTTGATGGACACTTAGGTTCCATATCTTGTTCATCGTGAACAGTGCTGCAATAAATATGGAAGTGGAAGTATCCCTTTGATATCCTGTTTTCCTTTCATTTGGATAAATTCCCAGTAGTTAGATTGCTGGATCATATGGTAGTTCTATTTTTAGATTTCTGAGAAACCTCCATACTGTTTTCCATTGTGGCTGTGCTAATTTACTTTCTCACCAACAGTGTAGTAGAGATCCCTTCCCTCTGAATCCTCACCAGCATTTGTTAGTTTTTGTCTTTTTGATAACAGCCATTCTAATTTGGGTGAGATGGTATCTTATTGTGGTTTTGATCTGCATTTTCTTGATGATTAGGGATGTTGAGCATTTTTTTGTATACCTGTGGGCCATTTGTATGTATTCTTTTGAGAAATGTCTGTTTGTGTTCTTTGACCACACTTTAATGCAATAATTCATTTACTTTTTGCTGTTGCTTTGTTTGAGTTCCCCATGTATTCTGGATATTAGTTTCTTATTGGATGAATAGATAAAAAAATTTTCTCCCATCCTATTGGTTGTCTTTTCATTCTGTGAACTGTTTCCTTTCCTGTGCAGAAGGTTTTTGGCTTCATATAGTCCCACTTGTCTATTTTTTTTTAATTTAAATTTAGAGACATGATCTCTCCTTGTTGCTCAGGCTGGAGTTCAGTGGCACAGGCTCGAACTCACGGGCTCAAGTGGTTTTCTTGTCTTAGTCTTTCAATTAGCGAGGGCTACAGACATGTGCCACCATGCCAGACAAATTTTCCAATTTTTTTATAGAGATGATTTTGCTGCGTTGCCCAGGATGGTCTCAAACTCCTGGCCTCAATCAATCCCCCCTCCTTGGCCTCCCAAGACATTGAGATTACAGGTGTGAACCACCATGCCTGGCCCCCATTTGTCTATTTTTGTTTTTGTTGCCCGTGTTGTGTTTTTTTTTGTGCGTGTGTGTTTGTGCCTGTGAAGTCTTAGCTGCAAAATCTTTGCCTAGACCAAAGTCCTGGCTAATTCATTCTGTGTTTTCTTCTAGGAGTTTCATAGTTCCAGGTCTTAAGTGTGAGCCTTTAATTTATTTTGAGTTGATGTTTATATATGGTGAGAGGTAAGAGTCTAGTTTCAATTTTTTACGTATGGATATCTAGTTTTCTCAGCACTGTTTATTGAAAAGGGTGTCTTTTCCCCAATGTCTGTTCTTGATACCTTTGTCTAGAATTAGTTGATATAGATATATTTTTGAATTACCTGTTCTGTTCCATTGGCCATTGGTGTTTGTTTTTAATTTCAATACTATACTATTTTGGTTACTATAGCTTTGTAGCATATTTTGAAGTCAGGTAGCATGATGCTTTGTTCTTTTTGCTCAGGATTTCTTTAGTGACTTGGATATTTTTGTGGATCCATATAATTTTAGATTTTTTCTATTTTTGTTGAAAATGGCATTAGCATTTTAATAGGGATTGCATTAAATCAAATTACCTTAGGTAATTGTAAATTATTAATTATTATTAATTGAATAATTGTAAATTACCTTGAGTAGTATAGTCAATATTAATTTTTTCAATCTATGAGCATGGGATGTCCTTACATTTGTTTGTATCCTCTTCTATTTCTTTCAGAAGTGTTTCATAGTTTCATCACAAAGGTCTTTCACTACCTTGGTTAGATTTATTCCTGGGTATTTTATTTTTTAGAGCTGTTGTACGTGGGTTTGCTTTCTTGAAATTTTTTCAGCTAGTTTGTTATTGGTGTACAGAAATGCTACTGCTCTTTGTATGTTGGATTTGTGTCCTAAAACTTAACTGAATTCATATATTAGTTCTAAGAGCTTTTTGGTGGAGTCTTTAGATTTTTCTCAATAAAAGATTATGTTATATGCAAAGTGAGACTATTTATCATTCTGTTTTCACATTTGGAAGACTTGTATTTATTTCTCTGCCCCATTGCTCTAGCTAGGACTTCCAGTACATCGTTGAATGGTAGTTAAAGTGCACATCCTTGTCTTTTTCCAGTTCTTTAAAAAAAGTATCTCAGTTTTTCCCTATTCAGCACAATGTAAGTTGTAGGCCTGCCATACATGGCCTCTTTTATTTTGATATGCTCCTTCTATAACTAGTTTGTTTTATTAAGGGATGTTAAATGGTATCAAATGCTTTTTCAATAGGTCTTGAAAAAAAGTCACATGTTGTTTGTCTTTCATTCTGTTGATGTGATTATTATATTTATTGATTTACATAAACATCATTGCATCCTTGGAAAAAATCCCAGCAATGAGATTTGATTGTGAGAACAATGGGCTTCAATACTTGGTTATGGTGAATTATCTTTTTGATGTGTTGTTGAATTTGGTTTGTGAGTAAAATGCTGAGGATTTTTGCATCTGTGCGTATTTGAGATATTGGCCTGTAGTATTCTCTTTTTTGGTGGTTGTGTCCTTGTCTGATTTTACTATTAGGTTAATTTTGACCTCATAATATGAATTAGTATGAATTCCTTCCTCTTCAATTTTTGACAATAGTTTAGAAGAATTTGTATTAGTTCTGCTTTATAAGTTTGGTAGGATTCAGTAGTAGATTCATCCAGTCCTGGCCTTTTTGTGTTGGGATGCTTTTTATACTTTTTATTACTGAATCAACCACATTACTTTTATTGGTCTATTCAGGTTTTATATTTCTTTCTGGTTTAATTGTGCTAGGTTGTTGATTTACAAAATTTCGTCCATTTTCTCTTGGTTTTCTAATTTGTTAGCAAACAATAGTCTTTAATGATTCTTTGTACTTTGTCATATAATTTGTAATGTCTCCTTTTTTCTTTCCTATATAATTTATCTGGGTCTTCACTTTTCTTCTTGGTTGATCCAGCTGGTGTCATAATGCTGCAGCCCTCTGGGTGGGCATGAGAAAAAGTAATTGGGCATCCAGAGATGTAGAGGTACAGGGGCTGTTGGGACTCAGAGCAGGGTGTATTCTTGTGGGGGCCAGGTTCTCATAATGATGTTATGCTTCAGCTGCTTGGGTCTTAGGAGGGTGTGTGGGCCTCAGTGTGAACACTCTCTCTGGAACAATGCTGTCACTTGAACTCTAGGCAGCACTCTGTATTAGTCACAGGGCCCCAAGGGTCAAGGGACTCCATGGCTAGGAGTGCAGAAGTCTACAGTGATAGTGTAGACTGCTGACAATCTCCCACTTACCTTTTTACTGCAATGGGGAGTGCTGCCTCTCTCCAAGCCATTCCTGGCCCAACTGAATGCTTTGCTTCCCTCTCCTGTTCATCAGGGGTTCCTTGTCACTTCCATGCTGAATTCCAGTCTTCTCTCTTAGAAGCTCTATACGATGGCTAGTTGTCTGCTCATTGGTTTTGTCCTTCTTTACGGGGGAGGCAAGTGTCAGGTGCCTCTAGTCTGCCATCTGAAATGTCTTTTACCATTCTTAATAGTGTCGTCTGAAGCACAAGCCTTTGTAATTTTGATGAAGTCCTATTTATTCCATTTTTCTTTTGTTTCTCATGCTTTTGATGTTATATCTAACAATCAACTTTCTTTTAGGATAAATGTGTAAGGTAATCTAGGTGTTGTCTATAAAATAATTAATGGTCACGAATATGCATTCAATATTTCATAGTTTACTGTTACTTAAAATAAACTGTGAAATTAAAGTTATTTCTATTTTTGTTTTTACTTTGTGAAACAAGGTCTGGCCCTATCACCCACGTTGCAGTGTAATAGCACAATCTCAGCTCACTGAAACCTCTGACTTTCTGGCTCAAGTCATGCTCCTACCTCAGCCTGCAGAGTAGCTGGGTCTACAGATGGGCACCACCATGCCCAACTAATTTTTCTATTTGTTGTAGAGATGTGGTTTTGCCATGTTGCCCAGGCTGGTCTCAAATTCATGAGTTTAAGTGAACGGCCCAATTTGGCTTGCAAAAATGCTGGGATTATAGGCATGAACCACTGTGAATTTTAATGAATGAAACTTGAATTTTAATGGTGTAATAAAAACATATGATCCTTTTCTTCTTTGCTGTGTCATCGTATAATGCCCACGAAACTATAATTACCGTGATAGTCACATCCTCTCCAGGCAGTCAGACTAGTGCAGTGGTTGAAAACCTACTTGACAACATTCCAAGATTTAAAAGTTTCATATGCTGATTCTCCCTCTTATGAGATCTTGAACAAACGACTTAATCCAAGTCTCAGTTTCTCCATATATGAAATGGAGATAAGAATATTAAATAGCATAGTAAAAGTCAAGAACTCAATGAGGTCTTGCCAAGTAGTGCCTGCTCAACAAATCATCATCATCATCATCATCATTATAAACATCACCATAATCCATCTTTTCAGGAATTAATAAAACATCAAGAAGTAACACAGATGACGTTATACTCCATTTTTATAATGAACATTCCAGAGAAATACAGTTAGCTTTTCGGTAAAATTCTTAGTGTTAGCTTTCTTTCAAGAAGATAAATACTAATAAATGGCCCACATACTTGATACCACAGGTGTACTTCTTTATCTACTTCTCTAAGACTTTGTTGCCATACTTTATTTACTACTATTCTATGTGACTGTTTGTAATAGTATTCCATATAATTGAGAAACAAAGTTATCCTTTAAACTTGTATTTGTAATCTTTATATATTTTTGAATTAGATATATTTCATGCAGATCATGCCCTTTCTACGGTGTCTTGGCTAACTTTTATTACTGTCTCAAATCTTATCAAGATAATTTTGTTAAATTATTTATGTTAATAAAATATATTACTTTTGTTATAATTTTAAGTGATTCATGTTATACTTTTGTATTAATTTCCTGATTCCTTTTACCTGCCTTATACTCTCTTCTTTTCTCCTGACGAGTTTTGTGTTTTCCATCACACAGAATGTCATGTTTTTTACTCTTTAGCATAGTTTTCAACACAACAAAAGGTCAGATCCAGACTATCTTCTTTATACTATTGTTTGCTTATTATATAGGTTACATATCTATGATAGATTACTTTGTAGCAGGATGAACTAATTAATACTTACCCTTTATTTTATGTAGGAAAATTAAAACAAAACAAGAATTGTACTTTGCAATTGTATACAAACGTCAAATCCACAGTAAATTGGACTAAGCATCAAGACAATGTGACTCAAGTTACCAAGGTTCGGTGGAATCTATTTTATTCCCTGGTATAATTAAAGTAACATGAATTCAGATTTTGAGTTTATTTTCTTCAGAAAAGTATGGAGCATTCAGTGATTATGTAAATAATGATTCTCTTCTGACCAGAAGACATTAACTCACTCCTCTGTAGAGAAATATATTTAAAAGCATGACTCTGTATAACTGGACATTATCATAATATTGATTTAATTTTATTGGATATTATAAAGATTTATTCTTATAAAGCTCTACTTCTTTTAGAAAATGTATGAACACTGTCAGGTCTCATATTATCAATGACAAAGTATACAAAATAGAAGTGGAAAATAAGATATAATTTTAGGCGACACCTTAAGCAAACATATAGAACATTTTTAAAAAATTTATGTTCACTTAAGAAACTTATCCTTTGAGTATTAGGAAAACAACATTGAAAATTTATTATTTGATTTCCTTGAATACTTCCTTTCATGAGCACTACTACACATCTGTTAAAATGACTAAGATATGGAAATTGGCAATTCCTATTGCTGCCAATGATGCTAGCCAGCAGGAATGCTTGTTCATAGCTGGTGGGAATGCAAAACGATGCATCCACTTTACAAGATACTTTGATAGTTTCTAACACAGCTAAGCATTCTTGCCACAGAATCCAGCAATCACACTCTTAGGTGATTTAACTGCTTGGAAAACATATTTCTACATGAAAACCTGAAAATAAATGTTTATTGCAGCTTTAATCATAATCACTCAAAATTGTAAGCAACCAATATGTCCTTTAAAAAGTGAATGTGTTAAAAACCATGGTACATTCACACAATAGACTAACATTCAGCACTAAAATGAAATGAGCTATGTAGTTATGCAAATACCTGCATAAATGCATGCATATTGCCAAATAAAAGGAATCTTGTGAAAAAGCTACATATTGTGTGATTCCAATCATATAGCATTCTATAAAAGGCCAAACTATAAATATAACAAACACATTGCTGTTGCCATGGGACATGTTTGTGTGTATGTGGCAGGGGGAGTTTAAGTAGGTAAAAAAGTGTGAATTTTAGGTTAAATGAAACTATTCCATCTTTCTGTAATGGTAATACATTACACTGCATTTGTCAAAACCATTGTATTTTATAGCAAAAGGGTGAAGTTTAAAGTGTGTGTATATATATGTATACATATAAGTATATAATATATAATACACACATATAAGTATATTATATATAATATACATATATAACATATAATACATATACATACATACCCATATATGTATATATACATATATGGGTAACATATATGGGTATGTATGTATATGCACATGTATTTATATGTATGTATATATGTAAGCGTATGTGTATATACACATATACATATATATTCATATATTTTAAACTTGTACTTTAAGCACAGGGGTACATGTGCAGTTTTGTTACATTGGTAAACATGTCAGGGGTGTTTGTTGTGCAGATTATTTATCACCTAGGTATTAGGCCTAGTACCCATTAGTTCTTTTTCCTGATCCTCTTCCTCCTCCCACCATCCACCCTCCAAAAAGTCCCAGTGTGTGTTGTTCCTCTCTGTGTTTCCATGTGTTTTCATCATTCAGCTCCCACTTATAAGTGAAAAATATATGGTATTTGGTTTTCTCTTCCTTTGTTAGTTTGCTAAGAATAATGGCCTCCAGCTCCATCCATGTCTCTGCAAAGTACATAATCTTGCTCTTTTTTACAGCTCCATAATATTTCACCTTGTATATGTACCACATTTTTTTTATCCAGTCTATCATTGATGAGCAGTTGATACCACATCTTTGCTGTTGTGAATAGTGCTGCAGTGAATATATGCGTGCATGTCTGGTGTCTTTTTAATAGAACATTTTATATTCATCTGGGTATATACCCAGTAATGGGATTGCTGGGTCAAATGACATTTCTGTCTTTAGGTCTTTGAAGAATCACCACATTCTCTTCCACAATAGTTGAACTAATTTACACTCCCACCAATAGTGAATAAACACACCTTTTTCCCCACAACCTCACCAACATCTGTTATTTTTTGACTTTTTAATTATAACCATTTTGACCGATGTGAGATGGTATCTCATTGCGGTTTTGATTTGCATTTCTTTAATGATCAGTGATGTTGAGCTTTTTCTCATATGATCATTGGCCACATGTATATCATCTTTGGAGGAGTGTCATGTCCTTTGCTCACTTTTTAATGGGGTTTAAGAGATCATGGGATACTAGGGTAGAATGCAGGGTATGACAAGATAACGTAACTGCATTCTAAATGTATGAAACAATCTCACTGAGGAAATATGGAAAGGAGCAGTGCTGACCTAGGTTATGTTCTAAATGGATACTATAACACTAAATGTCAAACAAACTGTACAAATTATACTCTAATTGATAGTGTTGTTTCCCACAGGAGTACAGTTGACAACTATAATACTGTTCTACATGTATGAAACTAACTAAGTGAATTGTGAATGTTGAGAAACAATTTCTTACATTTACAGTGGGATATTAAGATCATCAATGAGAGGATGGATAATCCATGTTGTTATGGATTAGAGTAGGGGAACATCAGTATGAACTCATGTTCTGCTTAATGTCGATATGGATAATTACATATAGATATATTTTAGGTGTGTGTTCATATGCAGTTTAGTATACACACATATATTTATTTTCTGTGAGTTAAAATGGTCTAGAAGTGATGGCACTTGTTGCGATTAGGCTTTGTGTCCAAACTCAAATCTCATCTTGAATTATAATCCCCATAATCACCTTGTGTCCAGGGAGAGACCAGGTGGAGTTAATTAAATCTCAGGGGGCAGTTTCCCCCATGCTGTTCTTGTGATAGTAAGCTCTCATGAGATCTGATTGTTTTGTAAAGGACTTTCTCCCTTCACTTGGCACTTCTCCTTCTTGCTGCCTTTGAAGAAGGTGCCTTGCTTCCTCTTCACCTTCTCCCATGATTGTAGGTTTTCTGAAGCGTGCCCAGCCATGCTGAACTGAGTCAATTAAACCTTTCCTTTAGAAACTACACAGGTTCAGACAGTTCTTTATAGCAGTATGAAAACAGACTAATACAGTAAATTGGAACCAAGATAGTGAGGCACTGCTGTAACGATTCCTGAAAATGCAGAAGTAACTTTGTAACTGGGTTACAGGCAGAGGTTGAAACAGTTTGGAAGGCTCAGAAGAGACACAAAGATGTGGGAAAATTTGGAACTTCCTAGAGACTGGTTGAATGGCTTTGACTGAAATGCCGATAGTGATACGCACAATAAAGTCCAGGTGAGGGTGGTCTTAGATGGGGATGAGAAACTTGTTGGGAACTGGAATAAAGGCTACACTTGTTATGCTTTAGCAAAAAGACTGGCAGCATTTTGCCCCTTCCCTAGAGATCTGTGAAACTTTGAACTAGAGAGAGATGTTTTAGGGTATCTGGCAAATGAAATTTCTAAGCAGCAAAGCATTTAAGAAGTGAGTTGGGTGCTGTCAACAGCATTCAGTTTTATGCATTCACAAAGAGATGGTTTGGAATTAAAACCTATGTTTAAAAGGGAAGCAGAGCATAAAATTTTGGAAAATTTGCTGTCTCACTATGTGATAGAAAAGAAAAAAACATTTTCTAAGAAGAAATTCAAGCCAGCTGCAGAAATTTGCATAAGTATCCAGGAGCCAAATGTTAATCACCAAGACAATGGGGAAAATGTCTCAAGGACATGTCAGAGGTCTTGATGGCAGCCCCTTCCATCATAGGCATAGAGGCCAAGAAGGGATAAATGGTTTCCTAGGCTGGGCCCAGGGCCTTGCTGCTTTGTTCAGTCTCTGGATTTGTTGCCCTGTGTCTCAGCCATGGCTAAAAGGGGCCAAAGTACAGCTCAGGCCATTGCTTCAGAGGGTGCAAACCTCAAGCCTTGGTGGATTACACATGATGTTGGGCCTGTGGGTGCACAGAAGCCAATAATTGATGTTTGGGAACCTCCACCTAGATTTCAGAGGATGTATGGAAGTGACTGGATTTCCATACAGAAGTTTGTTTGAAGGGTGGACCCCTCATGGAGAACCTCTGCTAGGATAGTGCAGAAGGAAAATGTGGGGTTGGGGCCCCCACACGGAGTCCCCACTGAGGCACTGCCTAGTGAAGCTGTGAGAAGAGGGCCACTGTCTTCCAGACCCCGGAATGGTAGATCCACACACAGCTTGCACTGTGTGCCTGGAAAAGCTGCAGACACTTAACTCCAGCCCAGGAAAACAGCTGGGACGGAGGCTCTACTTTGCAAAGCCACAGGGGTGGAGCTGCCCAAGATCATAGGAACCCACCTCTTACATCAATTTGACCCAGATATGAGACATAGAATCAAAGGAGATGCTTTCGGAGCTTTAAGACTTGAGTGCCTGCTTGATTTTGGACTTGCATGAGGCCTGTAGCTCTTTTATTTTGGCACATTTCTCCCATTTGGAACAGATGTATTTACCCAATGCCTGTACTCTAACTGTATCTAGGAATCCTGTACTCTAACTGTATCTAGGAACTAACTTGCTTTTGATTTTAGAGGCTCATAGGTGGAAGGAACTTGCCTTGCCTCAGATGAGACTTTGGACTTGGACTTTTGGGTTAATGCTGGAATGAATTAAGACCTTGGAGAACTATTGGGAAGGCATGATTGATTTTGAAGTGTGATGGTGACATGAGATATTGGACGGGACAGGGGCAGAATTATATGGGTAGGCTTTTTGTCCCCACCCAAATCTCATATTGAATTAAAATCTCTATAATCTCCACACATCAACGGAGAGACCAGGTAATTGAATTATGAATTTCCCCCATGCTGTTCTCATGATAGTGAGTGAGTTCTCATGAGATCTGATGGGTTTATAAAGGGCTCTCCCCACTTTGCTTGACACTTCTCCTTCCTGCTACATTGTGAAGAAAGTGCCTTGCCTTTCCTTTGCCTTCCACCATGATTGTACATTTCCTTAGGCCTCCCCAGCCATGCTGAATTTTGAGGCAATTAAACTTCTTTCCTTTATAAATTACCCAGTCTCAGGCAGTTCTTTATAGTGGTATGAAAATGGGCTAACAATGCTCATTGATAATGAGAACATCTAGCAGCCAGATTTAGGTTTTGAATGCTATTATTCAATAAAAGAAACTAACGTTCTTTGAATAAATGGAAGAATCTATCACAGGGGAAGAAATCTACAGGATTAGCCTGGAGCATCTTACAGTTGCAGAAGTTAATAAAGTGCACAAAACATACACACAGACTCTCTGTGTCTCTCTATATCACTCTCTTTCTTTCTTCCCCTCTCTCTTTCTCTCTCTTCCTCTCTCTCACAAACACACACACACACACAAACACACACCCCTTGGGAATATGTCAAAAGGACACCTTTCACCCGAAAGATTTTTCAATAGCAAAAGCTGGACCAAATTGAGCAGAAAATGCATAATATATTAGATTATCTCTCTACATTTAAAATAAATACCCCAGGTCCACATAGATATAAATAAATTACTGAAAAATAAGTAAATAGGGAGAATGATCAAATCGCATGTCCAGAAGAATTCTAAATAATTTATGTAGATTATCCTTCTTCAAATCAGCAGAAAATATCCCTATCCTTAAGTGTGATTGCCACCAAAATGACATACTACTGAAGATCTTTCTTTCATTTGCAGTTGGTGATGGTGTGTGTAATTGTGTACTTCAAAAACATAACAGAATTACATAAATTTTAAATAGAAACAATTCCCCAAAATATATGGACTTTATGGTTTTATTGGAATCACACATTGCTTCCCATTTCTTTTGTCACTAAGGAATTTCCTGGCAATTTAAAAGAACATTCTTGCCTACATGGTGGACATAGTGTGAAAGTTTGAATTATATAATCGTTATTCCAATTTCTATTTAAATTCTATGTTCCAAGGTGTTCAAAAAATAATTTAAATGTGCCACTTACCTTTATCAAATGATTATTGAACAAATAAACAAAAACTGACAACAGGCATAATGCTACTTGCCCATCTTGGATTTTTTTCTTACTCTTTTTTGTCTTTATTATTCTGAAGGGTAAGAGATGGAAGGAAGGAAGGAAGGAAGGAAGAATTAAAGATTTTTCTCACTCATGTCTTCCAAATTCTGCCATTCCTTTTACATCTGCTGAGTTATTATAAAAATATTTCAATGAATTCTTTATGTTTGATGTAAAGAAAATTGGCATTGATATAAGGTGATGTTCATTGAATCATCTGACAGACTTTTTTCCCCATAGAGTTAAGGAGTTAAATGGTGCTAACTTACGTATAAATATATCTTACTGTTAGAGACAGCAGTACAATGCTGAACATTCAGACAAAACAAAGCAAATAAATCACACACTTTTAATACCTCCATGGTATGCAGCATCCTCATGATAATTCAGAGCAAATTAAAGGATACTCAGTCTCTAGCTTTCTTTATTGCCTGAGTTCTTCAAGTTCCTGTCACAAATTTTAAGACTTATGAAGTCTCTTGACTGTAAATGTACCTGTGATCTTTTCACAGGCAGAAGTAAAATGAATTCCAAGGACTTTTTTCCCTTGCATGATCTATCAAAGACCAGTAATAACTGTCCAAAATTAATTCACATTATTCTGATCTAATCTTTGTGTAATTAATTGCTTCTAAATCATTGAATACATTCATGCTCCTTACTCATCATTAAAATAGACATTTTGTAATAGAAAAAACATTGACCTCTCCTTTCACATCTTAATTAAAAATTCTAGTATATTTTGAAGAATGTATCAAATGTTATGGGTGGAAGGAATAAGAGCCCATATGAATTTCTAAAACATAAATGATTAAGTCATTTTGTTCTATGGAATGATATGACCATATCACAAATATTCTACAAAGTCACATAAGTGATGTCCTTGCTCATGCAAAAATGCTAGTTTCTGGACTGCCAGTCTAATGTTCTATCCACTGTATTAAACTGTAACTAATTTACATTAGTATACTTAATCAGATTTATTAACATTACATCTTCTGATTGTATGTTCTTAGGGAAAAAACAAACACACATACAGGTAATTGGCCTAGACAGCCAAATGCTTAGTTATGTGTCTTTGTAGGAAATGACAAATTCAAGCTACTACTAGTGTATGGAGAAAAAATATCTAAAATCAAAATTAGGTCTATTGACTTATGTTATATTGACGGAATTTGGAAATAATTGTTTTAAGTGGTCTACATAAACTTTCATTTTAACAAAAACTTAAGATTATTCCCATGCTTTTAATAGAATGTATTTGTATTGTTTTCATCCTGCGTGTGATCAGAATCTACATTGGTGTCCCCTTCTCTGTCATTTTTCTGTAATGTATCCCTTATATCTCTAAGTTTTCTCTCAAACATGCTGCTTTTCTTAATTTCTGACATGAGTCTTATTTTGCATGTCTACAGTGTACTGAAAGTCATTTTTAAATAATATCTATAAAAAACTTTAACTCCCATGCTTATCTTTACCCACCAAACTTGTAGACACTCTACTGGTTCCAAAAAATGACATTCATAAAAGATGGCTTCTATTTCATCCAAGTATTCCTTCAAGCTAGAAGAAATACATTAATATTGGTTTAATATTTTAAGAAAGAGGGATTTGAATAAGATTTAATAGCTGGGGAATATTAAAAGATAAGAAGCTAATAAGGTCCTTCAAAGGTTCTATGTATTTTTAAGTGAATTTCAAAGACAAAAATTTCATAGAGACAGGATAATTTCTGCAGTTATTTTTTTCCAATAACAGAAAATGTGGTACTTCAGTTAAAAATAAAAATGAAATTGATACTTTTTTCTTTCTGTCCTGTGGTTATTTTTGTTCTTGTTTTCTTTCTACTAATATTGCACAGAATCACTAAATTGGAGATACTGTTTGATTTAACCCTTGACAAAAGGAAAATAAAATACAAGTGTAAATGAAACAGCATATTATCAAAATAATTTTAAAATTCATACAATTTATAATATTTTGAATACTTTTAAAATAATTTGATGTTTTCTAATGGTATGTGTAGAATTGAAAGTATAAAGTCTAAAAAAGAATTCATCCTTAGGTAGCAAGTGTATAGAGGACTAAAACTTCATATCATATCGTATCATATATAAATTTATACGATAAAACTCTCATCCTATGATTCAAATAAATAATATGTACTCATTCTATTTATTACTGGGGCTAGCACCATGAATAGTTCCAAATATATTGGAACAATATTTCTGAAGTCATATTCTAATAATGTTTTCAATACCCTAAACTTAGTATTAAATTATTTGTGGCAATCCTTCATCAAGGTTCAATAGATATATGTGCTCAAATTAGTTTGAATATTACTAGTACAGTTTTACTGGCAGCAGGAAATTCCACGATACTATATAATTCATAAGATTTCTAAAAGCAAACAAAGTTGCATTTTATAGCACAATTAGAAATGTGGTTTCTGTTAATTGCATGGTTCGAGGAGTGGTGTTGTGGTGTTGTTTTGTAACATTAATGTTGATTCAAGATAACACATTCTTGACAGACGTAAATCCTAAATCCATGTCACTTGCATATTGACTGTTCTGGCCATAACTTTGTATTGGTTTAATCCATGAATACTTTATATTTGGCCAGAATTGGTGCAGGTTTGAAAGGAGGATTTTCAGTGTTGAGGAGATTATAGTAAAAACAAATAAATAAATCATTCTTTTTTACAGTCTGAAATTGTGCACATGAAAATCCATTTCATCAGATAGTAATAGTTAAAAGATTGTTCTAATAATAAAATAGATGCTTTTTTGCAATAGGATATTCATAACACTTTGTCTTCTTGATATTTCATGAAATGAGAAGATAAATTTTTGTTTCAAGTATAATAATGGGCTTTGAGTAATGTATTAGCATCTATTTTGTCATATCTTTTATCATGAAATTTTATGTTTATATTTCCTTAATTTCGGAATAAAAATAAAAGCCTCCCATTGTATTATAAATTTATGACATTTTCATATAAGGAAGTAGATACCTTATTAATTTATAATTATGGTGTTATTTATTAATATCAATTACATTAATGGAGATGAAAACTATTATTTCCATTTCAGAGCTTACTTAGAGACATAAGTGCAATCACTTATTTGAGAACGCTTAATCATAGAAAGATTGGCATATAATATTATACACTAATTTTTGACAATCAATGTCTGCTTAATATAACATATATTAACAGTTCTAACAGTGTATGTCAGGTCCAGAAAAGTCCTAAAGTCCACACACTTTACTTTAGGCTTTGTTGCCATTTAATATTATCATTTTCTCTTTGCTAATTTCAGTCTAAATGAGTTAAATTATTTCAATTGATTGAAAATGTATTAACTTGTTGCCACAGTTCACTGACAAGTCAATGTAATCAAATAAATCTAACAGTTTGCAACTAGTTTCTGACTAGTCACTTGGTAAAAAATTAATTAGTTTTTGTATTGACTAAGAATTTATATTTTTCCAGAAACTAAACTGGAATACATAAATGAACTAAACTAAAATGCTTAAGTGTGGACTCTAAAAATGTAAATAGGGAGAATCAAGGTGTTGCGGTTTGAATGTGCCTCCCAAATTCCACGTGTTAAAAACGTAATTGCCATTGTAACAGTGTTAAGCAGTGAGGACCCAATAAGAAGTGATTGAGTAATGAAGGTGAAGCCCTCATGAATGGATTAACGCTATCACAAGGGTGGATGAGTTACTGTGAGTGTGTGCTATAAAGCAGGTTTGGCCACTGTTACCTCTCTCTGTCCCTTATGCTCGCCTCTGCCTTCTGACTTTCCAACAAGGAAGGCTCCTTACTGAATGCCACTGCCATGCTCTTGAACTTCTCAGCCTTCAGAACCTTGAGCAATATAAGCATCCCTTCTTTATTAATTACCCAGTCTGCTATATTCTGTTAAAGCGACAGGAAACAGAAAACGACACATGGCTTATTTATTCTCATTACATTGAAGTTTTGACTTGAGTAAGTTTGGGACTACAAAAGTTTCTTCCATTATTCACTTTAAAAATATACCAAAGATCAGGTTTCCAAAACAACCAAATGTTATTTCTGAGCACTCATGATACCTTACAGAAGTAAATAATAATTTGTATGGTGCATATAATATTTAAATAGTAAGGGAAAAAATAATATAGAATAGAATAGATTAACATCAGCTTTCTCCTTCTGCCTTCACTCTTTCATACCATCAGGAATGAAATCAATATTGAAAGTTTTAGCTGTGTTCTTTTATATCACTTGCTGAGCCCATACATTAATTTTTTATGTGTTTAGAGGTAAATACAAAGGCACATTTCTTTAATGTTATTATTTCCAAAAATAGAATTTCCTACACAGTTTTCTAAATCCTGCTTTTCTCATCCAGCAATGCATTGTAAAAATAACCCCAAGTGTACTAGTGAAAATAATGACTAAAAATAGTCTACTTAATGACCATAATATTTCATGACAAAGAAGTAGCATACTTTATCAGCTTTTTTCATTTTGATTTCTTTTTTTGCATTATATAAAAAATATTTCAATAAATTACCCAATGCGTCTATTCTGGTAACATTTGTTTGCTACATAATATATAATATGTAATCTTGGAATGTAACAAATGAATAATATTGATGGGTTGTTGAAATATTTTTAGTTTTAACATTGGTTTGCACATTGCTTTCTAAAATTGTTACTCTTTTCACTTCATTCAACAATGTATAAGATCACCCTTTTTCCTTCACTGCTGCAAAAATTACGTATTACATAGAGGTCTATTATAATTTGATACTTGTATTATTCTAAAATTACATATTGTTGTTGCTCTAATTTGCATCCCTCATCAGTAAATTTGACCATGTTTTCATGTTTGTATTGACTATTCGGATTTGCTCCACAGTAAAATTCCTCTTCATATATTTTCCCTATTTTTCTATTGGATTTGGCTATTTTCTTCCTGTCAATATTGAAATAGTTTAAATGCCTACACTTTGTGATCTCTATTAGAATAGAAAGTTTAAAATTTATCTCTTTACATTTTATGTATAAACTGAGTTTTAAATAACATGTGTTACTTTTTCATAGTTGACATCCTAAGGGGTAAATATAATGCCTATTTTAATGTTTCACCCACTCTTTTTACATATTTCAAAAAGAACAGAAAAAACGTCTCTTCTTCCAATGTCATTTGTACCAAGGATTGCCACATATCCCGCAATTTGGCTATTTATTTACTCTAGGAATGTATCTTAAAGTCAAACAGATGTTGGCTCTAATTGAACTTGTCATTAGATAGATTAGTCCATTCTCTGCATCAGAGATTAAAAAATATTTTTAATATATACCTCTGGTAATTGTTCTCTCCATTAATCACAAAAAATGTCTTAGTTATCTGATATACTTTATCCTTAATTCAGGGAATAGCTTTCAGAGTCTCATATTAGCATGTGAAATTCAGGCCTCCTTAATCGATGTGCTTCTTAATTTTCAAAAGATCGGTTGAATGATCTCAAAGGTGACACAAATCTATTAAAATAATTGTAATTAGCATAACATTTTTAAAACTGTGTTTAAATTACATTTTTGTCTCTGTAAACATACATTTGCTAAGATATGCATGCTTATCATTTATTATAGAAAAAACCATGTTAAAAGCACTTATTTATTTTCTACATTTACATAATAAAATATAAATTTTTGAATATGGTTTTTGTTGATCCTTGCAGACAGTTATTTGGGCAAATATACCTAAGAGTACATAGTTATGTTTCAATAAAGAAATATTGGCCCAATATAAAAATATATAATATACCAGTGTATCCCACCATTCGTAAAATGTCAGAAATAAGATAGAACTGTGCAAGAAAAAACTATTTTGCTGTACACAGAAACCCAATAAACTAAGAATTATGAAATATGTAAATTTCCTTAAGTTTGGAAGTATTGAATTCCATGGACAACATAATAGATATGCAACTTTAACCTATAAAAGAAAATATATTTAAATATGATATGATATATTATGTGTCAAATTGAAGATGACAAGCAACATTGTATGTATGAAGTAAGAATATCTCAAATACAATTATATGGGTGTTTTTCTACAAAAGTTTAATAATCTAATCCAACAGATTAGTCATGAAAATTAATTCAAGTGGATAAATGAAAATTAGTGAAGTATTATTTTTTATTTTGAAAATAATTCCTTTAAACCGTAAAATAATACAAATACATTCTGATTCCTAAACATCTAAAATTTAAAATGATCATTATTTCAGGAAATTTAAATAAATTATGGATAATTATCTATATAGAATTTCTATATAAATATCTATATAATTATTTTATAGAGATAATTATGAATAATTATGTAGTTCAAAAATATTAAATTTTTCTATATAGATTAATATCTATATAGCATTACCTATATAGATAATTATTTTATATAGATAATTATGGATAATTACTTAGTTCAAAAATAATTCATTTTCAAAGAAAATGTACAATATAAATGTTGTGTCCAATGTTCTAATTATTTAATTACTGTATAAATGGAAATTTAACCTCCTGTATAATTAGCTATAACATTAATAAGTTATCATATAAAGAACATATAAAATTTGAAATTGTATTCTACTTTTCCATAAAACCAGAGCTTTTAATAACAACAACAACATAATCTAAGAATATTTTCAAGGTTGCAATATATTTCTATATTTCTCTTAGATCTCTGGACCAGAAATAAAGTAGAGGACACAGGTGTCACCCTGGGAACAATTCTGTCAATGAGAGAGTGAAAATGGCTAATGCCAGTGACAGTCAAGTTTAATCTTATGCAAGCAGAATTTAATAGGATCAACACACTGTGTTTCAGAAGTCATCTGTCAGGTAAATCCTTCCAATTAAAATTAAATAAAGACACTGAAACAGACTCCTGGTAATGGCAATTAAAAATGTATAGTTGTGTTTAGCTTTTAATCCATAGATATATTTTTCATGAAATATAAATGTTTTTATATATAATCAATTTTGAAACAATTTTTGAAAGTCTACAAGCCTCTGAGAACCAAGATATGGTAAATACACACATATTGGAAATGTGCTTCAGAGTATATACACCTAAATTTCATGATCATCTTTTACTGCCATTGTGCTGTCTGTGTATTGTATGTGTATGTTTGTATATATGTGTATATAAATTTATCACAGCTGTTACACAATATACCAATATACTGTATTTAGCTTATTGGAACAGATGAGGAATCCTTGGCTCAGAGATTCGAAATAAATTCTACAAGATTACATAACTTGTAAGACCTAGGGTCAGAATTTGAACTCTTCTTCCCACCTGCAGTGACTGCTTTTTTTGCATTGCCAAAAACCACAAAATAAGTGGAAAAGAAAATATGAGAAAAGTGACTAACAGGGGACTTGACAGTATTAAATGCAATTTCCCCCCACTTTCCAAAATAGAAAAACTTTCACACGCTTATTTATGTATCCTACAATAAATCTAGAAATACCAAACTATTCCTCATGGGTGATAATAATGCCTATATCATGATAATTTACTATTTAAGCAAATGTTTTATTTTTTTCTCAATTCCCATCTAAAATACATTACTATGTTTTGATATACATTTCTGATCTTCTGTCGCTCAAATCTTGAAGAGAGATAAAAACTTTCCTATTATAGCACACTAGCTCATATATCTGCATTCCTCACATGTTGGGTCATTTCAGCCTGTCACTATTCCCATTGCAGGCATCTCCTTCATGGGGAATACATTAAAATAACACTATACAGTATATAGAAATATGTAAATGATTAACTTATTTGTAAATTTACCAAACAAAACAATGTTACATTTGCATAGGTTTTATTACATTCATTTAGATTCTGTATTTTTTTAAATGGTGTCTTTTCTGGAAATTCTCTGTTATATGCATATCTTAAAATCTCTGACCTAGAAACCACAGCTAAGAATTCAAAGAATAAATCAGCTTGTACACATATCACTTCAAAGATAAACTGTTTCAGGAAAAAATATCTTTCATTTCTGGAACCCTCCAGCTCACTATGTGTGGCATTCTCAAATACCTACATCTTGAAATGGCTGGAAAAGAAAAACCTGAAGATTTAATATAGAGCACTGGCAATTTGCATAAGAGACAAAATTATGTGCTTATGTAGCATTAGGATGAGGATCGAGTGGCTTTGTAGAGAGGTGGAAAAATCTCCTCTGATTTCCCATCACTGGGAGATTACACAGTAACTTGGTCAATTCTGATGTCTGTCTGGGAATTTTCAAGATCTATGTCCTCCATGAAATTTAAAAAAAATCTGCTTTAATAAAATATACTATTTATATTCCTTAATTTCCAATCTGTTTCTAACAAGCAAGGATGAATGGTAAATAGATAAATGTACTTCTTGTGACTTGTTGAAACCATGTTTTATTTTCTTGACTATAACTCATGAAAACTAGATCATGAATTGTTCTGTTTCATAAAGATTCATCTTCCACACTCAGAGCTGAGGGCACAATATTAAATAGCATAGTTTTAGAAATGTAATACGAAGAAGCTAATAAGATCAAAATTCTAACATGTAAATCTGAAAGAAATCTTGGAGATATCTATTTTATTATTCATTTTAAAAATAAATAAGTCAAAATAGGACCTGCTTAGCATATCTCACAACTAGAACACATACTTGTTTATATCAATGTCCTTATTCTTTCATCTGATTTAGTCTAACTGCTGGAGTGTTAATATTATCTTGGAAATGATTTGGGAATATTTTTTACTATGGCTTTACTTTGGGAAAATAGAAACTATTAATAGGAATATTAATAATATCATTCAGCAAACACACTACTTTAAATTTTTCTCAGGAATGGGAGTAAGACTCTTATTTAGGGATTCTTATGATAAAATAATATAGTCCTTCAAGAAAATAAATTTGCAAAGCACACTAACAATATTTCTGAATGACATCAACTCAAGTAAAGAAATTAAGATGTACATGACTGTGAAACATGATTTGAAACAAAGTTCTTCTATCATTATTAGAATTATAAGAGACAAAAGTAGAATGTGGTTGTGCCATTTTTTTTGCTTCTCTGAAAATCAGTGTCTCCAAGAGTTTTATGAGAGTTAGATTAGATGATACATGCCCAATGTGGTAGAAACTCAGTGCCTTGTGGGGTCCGCTAGAGAGATAATTCAAGAGACTGCTGAATCAACATAGAGCATTTCAATTCTACTTGTCATTTGAGGATTTATTTGCAGGCTTAGATTGCTTCATATTTCACTTCTCTGGCTTTCCATATTATGGGAGGAAAAAATCAAGAACTACATATTATTGTATTGTTCAAAGATATGACCAAGTAAAATCGAGAGAAAAAGTCATTCAAATAAAAAATGAGACTGCATTTGCAGAAGCTATCAACTAAGATAAAATACTAATATTTTTAAGAACATAGAATTGGATTAAATCAATAATACATTTCTCCAATGAATCTATGGACATATTTGAATAAGTAAAATCATTGATAATTGACATAGTCCACATGATTCTGCCAATACAAAGTGAGGAATTCTGGTAACACTTAGTTATTAATGGACAATTTGTATTTTTATACTGTCTCAGGCCATTATTGAGTAATAAATTTCATAATTCCATCCTAGGAGTATTCTGATGTAATTTATAAACCCCTCAATATATCAGTATTACTTATTTTTAAGCTACTTGATTCTAGAAAGCAAAAAATAACTCAATAACTTTCAATAAGAATAGGGATTTCCCACTAAAGGATAAGTTCGACTGTAATAGACATTAATTGTACTACTTGAGAGGAAATGTGATTGTTAAACATAAACCTAAAACTGATAACTTTGGGGATACTCAAAACATCATTACAATCCCCAGGGAAAATCTTTGAAAGGTAGAACCAAAGTGGGATGATAACTTGCTTAACTGAACCTGATATTTTCTTCTCTGAGAAAAGATTGCAAAGTGAATGAGGTGGCAGTGAATGAAGCACAGCAAAATGAAGCTATTAAGCCCTGTGTTAGCAATATATTTCTGACACTATTAAAGGAAAACATTTCCTGGCTCATGTGGTCAATAATTATGGTCTCTGGGGCCAGGTGTGGTGGCTCACACCTGTAATCCCAGCACTTTGGGAGGCTGAGGCAGGTGGATCACCTGAGGTCAGGAGTTCAAGACCAGCCTGACCAACATGGGGAAACTCCATCTCTACTAAAAATACAAAATTAGCCTGGTGTGGTGCTTGCCTGTAATCCCAGATACTTGGGAGGCTGAGGCAGGACAATTGCTTGAACCAGGGAGGGGGAGGTTGCAGTGAGCCAAGATAGCGCTACTGCACTCGAGCCTGGGCAATGAGAGCAAAACTCTGTCTCAAAATAATAATAATAATAATAATAATAATAATAATAATAATAATAATAATAAATAGCCTCTGGGATGGTAATATTTCTTCTGTAGAGAAGAATGTATCAAGATATTATAATTTGATAGTATTGGTTGATTGGCTCAACATGGATAAGAAATTGGTGTAAGTGGTTTTAACCTCCGAAACAACTGCATATGTAGATACTACTATAATCATCATTGTACAGATGAAAAAAAATGAAACACTGAGGAGTGAAGTAACCTACCCAAGGTGACATAGCAGTTAGTGTCAGAGTCAGGATTTGCATTCACTGTGACTGGTTCAGAGTTCATGACCTTCAGCCATTATGTGTATTGCATCTATAACTGCTTCTCATACTTTTGAATCACACCACTCTCCACTTTCATTTTAAATTAACGATTATCTAGTACTCTTTGATTCCAGTGTGACTTCCAGTAAAAATATACCAATAGACTATAATATATCTATAATTCCAATTTAAATGTCCTGGTCATTGTGATATTTGCATTTATTTAATTTATAATTTAGAGATAAGGTAGTAAATAGCATTTTTGATTTACAGAACCAGCACATTTAAGTGGATATCCCAATTTATTTGGCTAAATAAACCAAACAATAAATCTTTGGATGGACAAAACATAAAATGAAAGGAATGGTTTTCTTATCCTTCTATGCTTCCTGTAGTCTAATATATTGAAGTCAGAAAGAGAAAAGAATCAAAACATGTCCTAACCTGGGCAAGGATGGCAGAAACTTCTGAGGCTTCCTTAGCTTGGGAACTAGGAAAAATATTAAGGAGTTCAATTCTGGCACCACAAAAATATAATGGAATTTAAAGACTGAAAGATGGAATTAAATATAGGATAGACCATATTTCAGGATTTAGAAGAGGCTGATTCAAAACAGCGAGAGAAATGGAGTATAAAAAAAGAGACAAAGTGTCCAGTGTCCAGAAAGGTGCTCTCCTGAGGACCTTTCTTAAAAGCAACCACCAAGTTGTGCAAGGTGGCTCATGCCTATAATCCCAGCGCTTTGGGAGGCCAAGGTGAGCAGATACCTGAGGTCAGGAGTTTGAGCCCAGCCTGGCCAACATGGTGAAACCCCATCTCTACTGAAAATACAACAGTTAGCTGGGCATAGTGTAGGGTGCCTGTAATCCCAGCTACTCGGGAGGCTGAGGTAGGAGAATTGCTTGAACCCAGAAGCGGAGGTTGCAGTGAGCCGAGATCGTGCCACTGCACACCAGCCTGGGTGGCAGAGCGAGACTCTGTCTCAAAAATAAAAATACATATAAATATGAAAAAGCAACCACCAGACAGATGGTATCTCATTGAAGGTTAAAGATCCCATGGCTATTGCACAACTCATCTGATGTGCTGACTATCATAAACAGCATAGTATAACTATTTTCCTAAATTCATTTTCTTGTGGAACCTGCAATTCTTGGAAGCTTTATTAAATCCCCCAATTTAAAGACAATTTTGCATATTTATTTGTGTGTGTGTGTGTGTGTGTGTGTCTTTCTTACAGAAAGATCATTTATGATCAGAGACATTACCCTCCTCTGACACTAGGCTACATAACATGGCAGTACTTTTAGAAGGAAGCTGGGATTTTTGCCAAAGGAGTATTAATGGCACAAATAATCAGCCAATTCTTGGTTACTGGATACATTTCCCATAATATCTTATGATCGTTCAAGATAAGAGAGCATTAATCATGTAGTAAAAAAATTATTCTAAAATTTAGTAGATTTTATGAAAAAAGTGAAATACATCATAGAGGTTGAAAGTGAGATGCAGGTTAAGCGTAATGAGAATCGTTTTGAGAATATTTGTATGTGCATAATGAGAATTCTATGATTCTCTTCTCACCCAACCTTCATCACAATCTCAGAGACAAATTTGGACTTTATTATTTTAATTAACAATTTTTATTATTGTTATAAGTGATCATATATTCTACAGCATGGGCATTGTACTATAAAGAAAATGGCCCATTCTCACTGTGCCCTCTTTTCTTCCCTTCCTGCTCTTAGCACTGCCTGTGCTATGGTTTTCCCAAATGTTCATATCTTTGCATTGTCATATGCTTTAATTTCTACTTTGAACTATTTTTGTAATTATATGATTCTACAAAGGAAGGAATGGTCTTGTGTAAGAATTGCCATCAGCAGCTATTTTCAAAATAATATGCTGAGAAAAAAGAAGAGGAAGACAATATGACCTTTGAAAGGGCTTACTGGTTTTTTCCCTTTTTTCCCATGAATATCACATATATTTTTCCAATCAATGAACATATAAAGAAATTAGGTAATTAGTTAAGCTTGGCTTTATGTTTAGTGATAAATTTGAAAGAGAAAATATGTACAACTTCCTTGCAATAAGCAGACTCTACAAATTCTGGCCTATTAGAGTAGCTTATGTATTCTCCTTTATTTTTGTTTTCTTGATTGCATGTTGCCGGCAAGTAAAGATAGGGAAGACTCTTTAAAAACTTTTATTTGTTTGAGAGGTCAATCAACCGGTACTCTGCCTTTTTCCAAATAATAGTATGAACCTTGTTATACTCATGAATGAATGATAAATAGCTACAGATAGCCACAGAATAAGTTGCAGGAACATATTTGCTTATTCTTGCTATTTGATTAGTTCATTTTTCTCTGCCACTACTTGGTTTGTCTTTGATAAATGTTTATTTTGAATGCTGTGGTAATTCATGAAAACTCTGATCTTTATAAAGAAAGAATTCACCAATTTATGCCAGCAGTTGCAAATTTTTTGTGTGAAAAATCAGACTTTTGCAATGACCTTGAGCAGTAGGATGTAAATAAAACTCCTACATGTTATTTTCTTGTTTTTCTTCAGAGCGTATAAATAAAACTCCCACATGCTTAGCGTTCGTTCCACTAATGGAACACTAGGCATTAATAGACCTGCGAGAAAACCCTACAATATTGGAAATCATGTGAAATCAAGAGTTCCTGAAGGATGCGCTAAACATGAAAAGGAAAAACCTGTACCAGCCACGGCAAAAACATACCAAATTTTAATGACCATCGACACTATGAAGAAACTGCATCAACTAACAGGCAAAATAACCAGCTAGCATTTTAATGAAAGGATCAAATTCACACATAATAATATTAACCTTAAATGCAAACAGACAAAATGCTGCAATTAGAAGACACAGACTGGTAAATTAGATAAAGAGTCAAGACCTATTGGTGTGCTGTATTCAGGAGACCTATCTCACGTGCAAAGACACACATAGGCTCAAAATAAAGGGGTAGAGGAAGATTTACCAAGCAAATGAAAAGCAAAACAAAGCAGAGATTGCGATCCTAGTCTCTGATAAAACAGATTTTAAACCAATAAAGATCAAAAGAGACAAAGAAAGCATTACATAATGGTAAAGGGATCAATGAAACAAGAAGAGCTAACTATCCTAAATATATATGCACCCAGTACAGGAGCACCCAGATTCATAAAGCAAGTTCTTAGAGACCTACAAAGAGACTTAGACTCCCTCACAATAACACTGGGAGACTTTAACACCCCACTGTTAATATTAGACAGATCAATGAGACAGAAAAATAGCAAGGATATCCAGGACTTAAACTCAGCTCTGGACTAAATGGACCTAATAGACATCTACAGAACTCTCCACCCCAAATCAACAGAGTATACATTTTTCTCAACACCACATCGCACTTGTTCTAAAGTTGACCACAAAATTGGAAGTAAAACACTCCTCAGCACATGCAAAAGAACAGAAATCATAACAAACTGTCTCTCAGACCACAGTGCAATCAAATTAGAACTCAGCATTAAGAAACTTATTCAAAACCACACAACTACATGGAAACTGAACAGCCTGCTCCTGAATGACTACTGGATAAAAAATGAAATTAAGGCAGAAATAAAGATGTTCTTTGAAACCAATGAGAACAAAGACACAACAAACCAGAATCTCTGGGACACATTTAAAGCAGTGTATAGAGGGATATTTATAACATTAAATGTCCATACAAGAGAAAGCAGGAAATATCTAAAATTGACACCATAACATCACAATTAAAAGAACTAGAGAAGCAAGAGCAAATAAATTCAAAAGCTAGCAGAAGACAATAAATAACTAAAATCAGAGCAGAACTGAAGGAGATAGAGAACCCTTCAAAAAATCAATAAATTCAGAAGCTGGTCAAAACCTTGTCTTATGTCCATTTTTAAAGGGAATGCTTCCAGCTTTTGCCCATTCAGTATCATATTGGCTGTGGGTTTGTCATAAATAGCTCTTATTATTTTGAGATACGTTCCATCAATACCTAGTTTTTTGAGAGTTTTTAGCATGAAGGGCTGTTGAATTTTGTTGAAGGCCTTTTCTGCATCTATTGAGATAATCATGTGGTTTTTGCCATTGGTTCTTTTTATGTGATGGATTATGTTTATAGATTTGCATATGTTGAACCAGCCTTGCATCCCAGGGATGAAGTCAGCTTGCTCATGGTGGATAAGTTATTGATATGCTGCTGGATTTGGTTTTCCAATATTTTAGTGAGGATTTTCACATAGATGTTCATCAGGGACATTGGCCTAAAATTTTCTTTTTTTGTTTCGTCTCTGCCAGGTTTTGGTAACAGGATGATGCTGGCCTCATAAATAAGTTAGGGAGGATTTCCTCTTTTTCTATTGCTTGGAATAGTTTCAGAAGGAATGATACCAGCTCCTGTTTGTACCTCTGGTAGAATTCGGCTGTGAATCAGTCTGGTCCTGGACTTTTTTTGGTTGGTAGGCTATTAATTACTGCCTCAATTTCAGAATTCGTTATTGGTCTATTCAGGGATTCAACTTCTTCCTGGTTTAGTCTTGGGAGGGTGTATGTGTCCAGGAATGTATCCATTTCTTCTAGATTTTCCACTTTATTTGCATAGAAGTGTTTATAGTATTCTCTGATGGTTGTTTGTATTTCTGTGGGATCGGTAGTGATATCCCCTCTATCATTTTTTATTGCATCTATTTGATTCTTCTCTCTTTCCTTCTTTATTAGTCTGGCTAGTGGTCTATCTATTTTGTTGATCTTTTCAAAAAACTAGCATTCTATGCTCATGGATAAGAAGAATCAATATCGTGAAAATGGCTATACTGCCCAAAGCAATTTATAGATTCAATGCTATCCTAATCAAGCTACCATTGACTTTCTTCACAGAACTGGAAAAAAACTATTATTTAGTACCATTTTAACAAAATGTTTTAAAAATGTTGTTAAAGTTGTTAAACAGATGTTTAGGAGTATAAAAAATAAGAGGTCTTATTCAACTTGTTCACCATGTTTCTTCAAAAAAAGTATAATAGAACTTTCTTTGTCAACATAAGATTATACTTATTTATGATGTGGCTAAAGAAATGATAAGAAGTCACAGAAATAAGATAGTTATTGCTTGCATAATAAAAGTTCAGGATCTTCTTTAGCAAAAATAGAGAGTGATAAAATGCTTTGATTTAGGGCTTGGCTGTGATGTCAAGGTCAGATAATAAGCTAAGTGGGACTCTGATAAAAATAAAGAGATAAAGCGAAAAAAAAAACCCTAGAAAGATAAATGGTATCATATAAGATGTTACTAAAATCCCTTTTTATGAAAGTACAATTTTTAGAAGATTTTTGCAATAATATATTTATAAAATTCATGAGCAGAGAAGAAAACTTGTGGGTTGGTTATATAGTTTTTGGATCTTTCTACATGTGTTGAAATAATTAGCCGTGGTCATACATGCTTGGTTATCTTAATATAGTCCCATGACTACATTGAGCTAGAGTATTTTCTAGAAAAGATATGGCCATTTCACCACCTCAGTATTTATGAAAACTCTAGTTAACATTGCAGTTTCTAGAATGGTGCCCTTCAACTCAATATGAGCCTGAAAGAAATAAACATTTCCTCTAATTCATGTGAAATGTTGTGCTTAATTATAGTAGGGATGTGGAAAATTACTTTCATGGAAGAGAATAACAGTGCCTGAGAATGCCAGTGCAGTTGGCTTTCCCCAACTGGATGAAATCCACAGTGAATCACAATTATAGACAAACATAAATCAAAAGCTAATGTGAGCCACAATCCTGTAGCTAGTTTGACTGAAAGACCATGTAGAATTTGTTTTATTCCATTTGAGTGTGTTCGTGTAAACCACTGAATGGCTGAATATAGTACGACTACTCATTTTTAAAACATATTTGGTTTTAAAGCACATTTTTGCTTTTCACGTGTTTTACGTTTCAAGATATAAATTTCACATTAAAAATAAGTATAATTTAAGAACAGAATATGACATAAAATTGCTGTTGCTGAAAGATAATTATTTGTGACATAAGGAATATAAGCAATATGAAGGTGGGAAAGACATTACATTTATCTAGTGGAAATGAAAAGATTTAAAGAACAATTTTTAAAAGAAATTGTTACAGATCAACAAGACAGAAAGCAGCAAAGTGGTTTAGGGAGAGAGAGAGAATAAGACTGAGGGAGAAACTCGGAGGAAGAGTGGGGTCATTTAGTTGTTTTGTTTTCACCATGCAAATATGGGTTGCTAAGGTCCTAACATTATTTCTATCAGATAGAATTAAAGCCTTGTCCAAGCTGTCATATTTTACTTCTTATTTTCTTAGCAATAAAATCCACACTTGGTGATAATAAAATTACGAAGTAAAAAACTGCATGCAAAAAAAGAGAACTGTAATTTGATCAATAGCTACATATGACCTGATGAGTTGCACAATAGCAGAAGGTATGAAAGGAAATGGTTCAGTGGAGATTTTCTGCATAATATCATATTCTCCTATAGAGTAGGAAAAGGGCTTATGTTCTTAAATGTGTTGGCTTGAACCTGTGGGGCAAGATAGATCTTCCAAGTCATGCTGTTCCCAGGTTTCTCCTGCATTGTCAGGGCTTTCATCAGTGTGCTAGATACTGCATCATGTAATTTTGTGACCAGGTGTTCTCATTCAGGCTTCTCATGTTTCTTTTTCTATAAGTAAAACTCAGTGTCTTAGTCTGTTTGTGCTACTATAATAAAAAACCCAAGACTGAAACAATTTATAAATAATAGAAATTAATGTCTCACAGCTCTAGAAGCTGGGAATTCTAAGATCAAGTTACTGGCAGGTTCAATGTCTGGTGAGAGCTCCATCTGTGCTTCCAGGGTGGCACCTCTTGTTACATCTTCATGGGTCAGAAGAGACAGAAGGGTAAAGGGGCAGGAGTGGAGAACAGCTTCCTCACACCTCTTTTATATGGGAACTAATCCCATTCATGAGGGCTATAGTCCTCCTAAGGGTTCCACCTCTTAATCTTATCACATTGATGATTAAGTTTCAAATATGCACATTTTGGATCACCATACTCAGATATCAGAAATGCACAGATGGGAAACCATGGATTCTCCCTCTCCCAATATATTCTGTAAAGCAGGAGTCCCAAGCCCCTAGGCCACAGACAGGTCGCAGTCCTTGGCCTGTTATTAACAGGGCCACACTGCAGGAGGTGAAGAACAGGAAAGCAAGGGAAGTTTCATCTGTATTTGCAGTGGCTCCCCATTGCTCAAACTACCACCTGGGCTTCACCTCCTCTCAGTTCAGCAGTGGCATTAGATTCTCAAAGGAATACAAATCCTGTTGTTAACTGTGAATGTGAGGGATCTAGGTTGCACACACTCCTTATGAGAATCTAAGGCTTGAACAGGCCCAGGCCTCCCACTGATTCTAGATTATGGTGAATTGTGTAATTAATTACAATGTAATAATAATAGAAATAACGTGCACAGTAAATGTAATGCACTTAAATCATCTCCTACTATCCCCTAGCCAGAGGTCCATGAAAAAATTTTATTTCATGAAACTGGTCCTTGGTGCCAAAAAGGTTGGGGACAACTGCTCTATGGGGCTCAGAGTAATCTACATAGTCTTTAACTCAGAAAGTCCTTCTGCTTTTACCTTTACTTTAAAGGGCTAGGCCTACTCATAAAGAAGTAGTAAATGCAGAGTCAATAGCTTTAGGGAAGAGCACAAACATGTGGTGATCTAGGATCTGTGGAGCCAGAAAACCAAGATAGGCTGATGTCGATATAAATGTACTCTGTCAGGGCCCAGCATGATTTCCTGGTGTGTAACTTCATTAGATTCTGCACATAGGTCCAAGAATTCTTATTTTTTTGCAGGGGTGTTTTAGAAATAGCAGAGATCCTTGTCTCTCAAGGAAATATAGGGAAGAGGTGGCCAGTTAGTAAAGAAGAAAAGGATTTCATTAGAGGAGAAAAATATATCTCAAAAGTGTGGGTATCACGAAACAGTTTCTTATCCATAGATATAACCACCATAATATCCTGAAAGATAAAGCTGAAAAATAGAAATGGAGATGAAATCTATAAGATATGAATATGGTACAGCCAGGGGCTGAGAGATAGGATAAAACAATTTAAAAAAAAAACTTGTCTTTCTAGCACCTAGAATAGGTATAATACAATAAAAGAGGAGGTTCTTAACAAGTGCTTACTTGTATTGAGAATAATGGGACAAAAAAATTATTTTCTTAATCTCTATTTTTTCCTGGTTATGTAGTTTACTAAATTATATAGGATGCTCTTTATTTACTGTGTGCTTAATTTGCATAATTTTTACGGTTATAATATAAATACAATAAGTTAGCTGAACAGAATGCTTGCTTTGTGCTGATTTTATTTCTTAACAATATTTTTTACTAGTCACTAACCTTTATCCCTTAAATGTCTTTCCATATAAAAGACTGTCTCTCTGAACACCTCTTTTCTCTTAATACTTCTGATAGTAAAAATATCAATATCAATATTAAGATCCTAAGTATAAATTATATGAAAGGATACTAGTATACCTAGTAGAAATAACATTTTGTATTTTTAAAAGTTATTTTTTAAGTATAACATAACCTTTACAAAGTACACATATCTTAAGTGTGCAGTCAAATAAATTTTACAAAACTAAGGCACTCCTGCACACCTATTATTTTCTATTCACCCTGTACTTGTTGACGTCTCCCCATCTCAGTCATTACCTGTCCTCAATATCATTATCTTATTTTGTTGTAAATCTAGTAACCCCAAGATGTTCCTTTGTGTCTGGTGTTGCTCAGGCAATATTATGTGTGAGATTCATCTAACTTTTTTTTAATATATCAAAACAACATATAATTTTGAAATAAACTTCAGTTATTTTTTTATTCCTATTTTAAGGTTGATAGGAATTTGAATTATTTCCAGTTTGAGACCTTATGAATATTGCTGTTAACATTCCTGTACATGTCTTTTCTGCACATATTTATGAATTTCTCTTAGATATGTCTCTGCGAGTGATTTTGTGGGCTGTAGGTTATAAATACATTAGCCTTCAATAGTTACTGCAAAATGGCTTTCCAAAGTACCTTTAACAGTTATATTCCCAGAACTCTTAAAAGAGTAATCCAGCTATTTCCATATTTTTCAACCCATTATTCAGAGTTGTATATTAATTTTAGCCATTCTGGTAGGTTTTTATTGATAATAAATTTTGAAGCTTATAAAATAAGATGTATGAAGAATAAAAACAGTCTCTGTGTTCTAAAACAGATATTGAGATTTGTCTTCAAGGCATAAATTTTCCCTCAGTAAATGCGATTCGCTGGGCCACTAATCATGAAGAGCAATTCTTACAGAAGTCATAAATATGGAGCTATGATAAAATTTTAGTGCTTCAGAATGAAGTGTTTTTCCATATTCTATTTTGTAATGTTATTTGAAAAACAAACAAAAACAACAGGAATATACTCTGAAAAGTAGAATCCCTCCTACTTAAAAATAATTTATTATATTTATGTTCTAGAGCAACCACTAAATGTATATGTGTATATGTATATGTGTGTGTATCTATATACTGCTAAAATTAATATACAACTCTGAATAATGCATTAAAAAATACGTGAAATAACTGGATCACTGTTTTAAGGGTCTGGAGTCCTTGTAGAAATACGTTTTTATGGTCAATGCTTGAGATTTGTTGTGACTCTATGAGGGCTCTTCTCAAATGTCTTTATTCTTGCCTCTCTCTGAAAATTTAGCTGTCTTATAGTTAACTTATATCAATGATATAATGTCCAGTTTCCTCTTAATTACTTTTTATGACAACCTCCCTTACTTTTGAAAGCATTCTTAATCTCAAGCTTCACCACTGTGTCTTGGTAATAAAGTCAATTCCTTTGAAAATTGCTTGTGATTTCTCTGTTTTATGATCTTTCTTTCCACCTAGGTAAAATGTCTGACCCATGGCTCTGAGCCTGGTGGTGGGAGTGGCACCTGTCCCTCACAAATTCCCAGTCAGTCAAAATGAAACAAACCAAAACAATAAGTATTATATTTATACTTTACAATATTTGAATATTTTTGTTATTGTTGAAGATGTAACTCTATCTATCCTAGAATTTCTTTTAATTTGTTACTTGCAGAAACAATGGAATGGTAAGTAAGAAGTTGTACTCTTAACTTTTGCATATGCCATTAAGCCAAAAAGTACTTTGGCTATATTGAGAGATTTTCAAAAAAGAAAAAGTTACATCTCATTCTCAAATATTTTAAAAGTCTGCAATTTTAAGAATAAAACAAGATAAAATATGG